>NC_000007.14:144912925-145064440 GCF_000001405.40 Homo sapiens | reverse complement strand
ATGTGATGATATACTTTTATCTATTTCAAGGGAGAAACAGATCTTTATTTTGTATTAACCATCCTCTCATAAATCTTTTCTAACAACGTATGCATTACCTCCCAAGTATTTCGCAATAGTAAACTCAGAGCAATATTCTCATCCCATGTTTAATCCAGAAGAACGGGGAAGTGAGGAGGAAAAAAACAATTAGCTAGAAGACACTTCACTTCAGCTACTTATTTTAGGAAAATAAGATTGTCCACGAAGCTTCAGTTAGACCCCAAATCAAAAATAAATAAAAGATTTCACTTTGGTGAACTAACCAAATATATATATGTATATTTGAATATATATATATGAATAAAGTTAACATTTTTCATCTATTTTTTATCCAATACATTTTAATTAAATTGCATTTTATTTCAATTATTTTTTAAATATATAAACAAGGTTGATTATGTGCTACTTCTGAAGTTCTTTTTGCAAAGTTTATTCTGGTATGCAATAACAAAAATAAATCGACCACTTATAAATTTGCATTGTTTCAAACCCTTATAAATTATGAACAATAATCCTTATAATTTGGACATACTAACCTTTATTGTTCATAAATTATGACATCACTAGCATCTCCCATTTGCACTTATTGAAATTATATTTACCATTCAATCCTCAGCTAAAATACATTTTTTTCCATGAAGAATATGCACATCTTCCGGCTCCTTCTTTGTATCTCCTTTGAATTTGTTGTTATCACTTCTGATGGAAAATAAAACTTCCCTAAATTCATCAGTACTCCTACAAAAGCTATGACCTCCTGAGACTCTTTACATACCATGAGAATTAGGTTTGTATCCATTGTTTACTTAATTGTTCTGAGATATTTCAATATAGGGATATAGAAAAGGAGAATGAAACTTTTCTTACAGAATGGTGTAAATTCCTAGGTTAAGCTACAAATGTCAAGAAGACCCAGGTTCTACCTTGCTAGCTATTTATATTTCAAAAGGTAGGAAGTCCAGGCCTTGAAGACATCTTTAGGTCATAAAAGCCAGAGAAGCCTGGCACTTTGGAGGCGGAGGCAGGCAGATCCCAGCACTTTGGTAGGCGGAGGAAGGCAGATCACAAGTTCAGGAGTTCAAGGCCAGCCTGACCAACATGGTGAAACCCCATCTCTACCAAAAATACAAAAATTAACTAGATGTAGTGGCACGCGCCTGTAATCCCAGCTACTCAGGAGGCTGAGGCAGGAGAATCGCTTGAACACGGGAGGCGGAGGTTGCAGTGAGCTGAGATCACGCCACTGCACTCCAGCCTGGGCGACAGAGCCAGACTCCGTCTTAAAAAAAAAAAAAAAAAAAAAAAAAAAAAAAAAGCCAGAGATACCCAGGGTTTATCAGGTCCTTGGAAAGACATACTAACATTACAAAAGGTGAGAACCCAGGATTCTTTTCACCTTTTCTCAAAGGAGTAAAAGTTTTCTTGGGTCAAGAAGGGAGATGGCTAATGGTCCATTGTTAATCCATTGTTCTTTGTTTCTCACCCTTGGAATATCAGACCCCTCATGGTTGAAGAATTCTCATTGGTTCTTATTGCATGGCCAAAGGGTAAGCCTTGAACATGGGACACATTATTTATTTTGAGGTAATTATTAGGAAATCTGATTCAGAACACCTCATGAGCAAATTCAGGATAAAACAAAGACAAATACTAAAAATATTAAGACAACTTTTTCACATTTTTTGGTAATGTTTGCCTATTGTCTGACCTGGTGATTATTTGTAGACATCATTTATTTGTTTCCTCATCATTTTATCTCTTCACACATAGTGCATTGGACATACTTTCACAAAATGTCTGTCCCAGGCAGAATGCTATTAGTCAGTAAAGATTTGTTCAGTGAGTAAGGGAAAACAGGAAATGAGCCACTATTAAATATTATTAAATATTAAATATTATTATCCCAAATTAGGATGTGGTTGAAGAGCTCAAAAGTATGTTAAGGCTAGACCTTGAACCTTGTGAAATGTTGTATGACCTTGGATAATGTAATGTTGCATATAGTGTAATGTTATGCTGCATGTAATGGATTCTGTGTAAGGTAATGTATGTAAGTAATGTAACAAAATAAGGTTGTAATGAGTGTAATGTAATGCTGCATGTACTGTAATGTAATTTTGTGTGACCCTGTTCTTCCACATAAACTTATAGCTGGAACATCACTGAGAATGCTGTGTGAAACAGAAGCCACTCCACTGGACTTGAGTGCAGACTTGGTATTATCCAGAGTAGAGTACAGTGCTGCAGAAAAGACCCTCAACATTCTCCTATAAGCAGCTCTCTTTTCTTATCACTAAAGTGAGCTCTTACAACAAGCATCTTATATAGAAAAATGCATATCTTTAATTGAAGTAACATCTGTTCCCTGTATTTGTTATTTATTCCTAAGTCAGGAATTTAAATTTTTTAAAGGCACTTCAATTTTTATTTAGTCTTTTAATGCATTATTAATTTTTTTGTCTTGTATAATGCATTAATGGTTAAAAGGGTTTTGTTGTATTCTTTTCTGTTTTATCTTTCTTTGGTATCATAACTGTCAAACAAAAAAAGAAGCAAAAATTATACCAGATAGAGAGGAGGAGGATGAACAAAGGGAAGAGGAATGGCACATACAGCTGCAAAGGTCAGCCAGAGCCCACCCCACCAGAGATAGCAGGCCATGCTAAGGCCTGTGTTGGGAGAATAAGAGGGAAGTCAATGCTTTTTAAAACACTGTTTATTTGGAAATAATTTCAACTTAAAAGCTACAAGAATGGCAGAAGGAATATCCATATACCCTTAATTCAGATTTCAGCAATTATTAACATTTTGACCCATTAATTTTTTTTCCCTCAACCATTTGAGTAAAAATTGCCTAAGTCATTCTCATTACCCCTGAATACCTCAGGATATTTTCTAAGAATGAGAATTTTCTTGGATAACCACAATACAGCTATGAAATTCTGTGAATAGTAAAGGGTACAATACCATTACCCATACCCATATTTCAACTTAGTCACATATCCTAATATGGGATGGACTCTTTTTCTATTGCTACTGTAACAAATTACCACAAACTTAGTGGCTTTAAACTATACAAATGTATTCCTAAAGTCTTATAGGTTGAAAATCTGGTACAAATCTCACAGAACTTCAATCAAGCTGACTGAATTCCTCTCTAAGGGCTCAAGGAGAAAACCTGTAGCTGCCCTTTCAGGTGGCTGGCAAAATTCAGATATTTGATGTTGTAGGACACAGACCCTGTAGCTGGCTGTAAAATGACAGTATTTACCAAATTCTAGAGACCAATGCCTCTCTTGACTTTAGCCCCCTTCTCCATTTCAAGATCAACAATGGTGATTGAGAACTTCTCATAATCACATCCCTCTCATTCATCCATCTTTTTATCTCTCTTTCTGACTACGGCCAGGAAAGACTGTTCCTTTTTAAGAACTCATGTGATTAGGTTAAGTCCACCCTGATAATCGAGAATCCTCTCCCCACTCAAGATCTGTAACCTTCATCATACCCAAAAGGTCTTTTAGCCATGTAAGAGAATATACTCACAGGCTCCAGGGTTAAGGAGTAGGTATCATTTGGAGGGGAGGGGATTATTCTGCCTTCAACATAAATAGTTCTACCATGTGGCACACTAACAACCTTGCGTGTCTCCACATTGTCCATGTAGGCAAGGCTTGGCCACACTTTGACCTGAGTCCTGGTAAAATGCCCTGTGATTCTTCCTAGACCCAGGGGAGGTACGCAGCCTTGGCAGGAACTGCCACAAAGCTGTTTCTCATCTATCTCCCTAGTTTTAGCAGAGCACAGGACTTTCCTATGGTACCCCTACCCCCTCTCAGGATATAGCTGCAGGCTTCTGAGTAAATCTATACAACTCATTGGCTGTATTCTAGAGTGGTCACCTCACTGCCCAAGTAACCCACCAGGCATGCTAGCTGCCATCTGGCCCCTGAAGTTGGTGTTACTTTGTTACACGAGGAACATGAGGAGTTGACACCATGCTGATCTAGCTTATGCTGTGTCAATCACAACTGCCTAAAATCAACTGGGCTTGTTGCCTCCTTCCTGGCCAAATCCATAGGCGTGTGGCAAGTCAACTCAGCAGCTGCAGCAGTGGTCCTTTTGGTCTTGGTGGTCACCGAGCTACTGACCACTTGACATCCAATCATGTCCTATGTAGCATCTTCTTTCTTGTCCAGGATCCAATCCAACTTCATACCTTGTACTTATTTGTCATATCACTTTAATATCATTTAATCTGAAATAATTCCTTCATTTTTCCTTTCACATCTTGATATTTTTTTTTATTATTATTATTATTATTATTATTATTATTATTATTATTATTTGAGACGGAGTTTCACTCTGTCGCCCAGGCTGGAGTGCAGTGGCACGATCTCGGCTCACTGCAAGCTCGGCCTCCCGGGTTCACGCCATTCTCCCGCCTCAGCCTCCGAAGTAGCTGGGACTACAGGCGCCCGCCACCACGCCTGGCTAAATTTTTTGTATTTTTTAGCGGAGACGGGGTTTCACCGTGTTAGCCAGGATGGTCTTGATTTCCTGACCTCGTGATCCGCCCGCCTCGGCCTCCCGAAGTGCTGGGATTACAGGCATGAGCCACCGCGCCCGGCCACATCTTGACATTTTTAAAGGGTAGTCCTTCAATTTGAGTTCATCTCATGTTTCCTTATGATTACAGTCAGGTAGTTACTTGGGGCTAGAATACTGAATAAATAATGTGTTCTTCTCATCAAATCACATTAGGGTACACGTGCTATCAATATAACCATTATTAGAAACATTAACTTTCATCTTTAGGTTAAAGTAGTACCTACTAGAGGTCTCTCCACTATGATGTTACTATTTTTCCTTTTATAATAAATACATACCATTATGTAGCAATAACTGAATTTCATCCAAATATCTTCTTCAAAATACCACCCACTGGTTTTAACACCTGTTAAAAATTCTTCCCTGAATAATATCTATGACGGTTGCAAACTGCATTTTCTAACTTCATCATTCAATACATATTCACTACTTGGCATTCTACTGAAAGGAAGAGCTGTTCCTCCCTGGTTGATTGTTTAGTTAGTTACATTTGGTTAGAGTAGAAATCATGAAATGTATGGTTTAAGGCTATTCAATCAGTTTAGAGTATTGCATTACAGTTTTCTTCTACTTTGTGGTTATTTTGGTGGCGAATTCTCAATTCAGCTGAAGTGTTTGATTTTCATTTTCTCTTTGCCTCTTACAGTAACTGCGTATGGATTTTTTTGTTCCAATTCATTTCCTGAACAAAATTGCTTGTTCAAAAGTATGGTTATTTATTTGTAGAGGAAAGTGCAGCTTCCTTCTTGGATAATATGGTTAGGGGTAGGAATGAGTTGGTTTGTCCTGTGATTCTCTATTGTTTCTGCAGCATCCTTGATTTTCTCCAGGTATTTCTTTCTCTCCTTCCACCACACGTTTATAAAGGATGCCTCCCCCTTTCTATTTACCTTCTTCTCTAGAAGCACTGCTTTGTTGAGAGAGCCACTGAAGTCCACACACTTTCAAAACCCTTGCCTGTCCCCAGTGCTGAGCCCAGTATTTTAACACATGATGTTGGGCTTCCTCAGCGGCTGATTTTGACTGTGCTTAGTCTGTGTCCTCTGCACCCCAATCCGCTATTCCATTTGCAATTGTTCAGCTTATTCTCCCAAGCTCTCTGTGTGTACAAACTAACAGTACCATCAGCCGCTCTGGGGAGAGTTCTGTTGTTTATGCAGTGTGCCCCTTGTGAATCTAAGTGTTTTTTAGAATGTGCAAAGAAAGATGGATATAGAAGGCCAATTAACCTAGGACCGACCAGAAATTCACATAAGAACTTTAAGTAGAGAGTTGACTTGATTCAATTTGCATTTTAAAAAGATCCTTACTTCACTGAAGAGAATAGATTGTAAGAGTCAAGAGTGGATTGAGGAAATGGTTTCAGAGATAAGAGTCCACATAAAAGATTGCTGTGTTTTGATCAGAGATTTTGGCAGTAAAATGGAGAAATACACAGAATCAAGAAATGTTTAGAAGCTTAATAGAAAATATTTAGTGACTAATTAGATGTAATACCCCCAGGTTTCTGGCACGAGCACCATGTACATGCTCTTAGCTGGAAGCTTTGTTTTATTTCTTTCTTTCTTCTTTTCTTCCTTTTTTAAAACACAACCCCCACTTCACAAATCGAAGCTTTTAGATGTGTTTTCTCCTACACGGAGTGCATATATAACCGTGTGCCGTAGGCAGAATAATGGCCACCCAAAGATGTCCATATTCTTATCCCCAAAACCTGTGAATATTTTACCTAACATGGCAAAAGAACTTTGCAGATGTAACTAAGTTAATAATCTTTTGTTGTTGTTTTGTGTTCTTTTGTTTGAGACAGAGTCTCTGTCACCCAGGCTGGCATGCAGAGGTGTGATCTCCACCCACTGCAACCTCCACCTCCTGGATGCAAGCAATTCTCGTGCCTCAGCCTCCTGAGTAACTGGGATTACAGGCATGTGCCACCACACCCAGCTAATTTTTGTATCTTTTGTAGAGACATGGTTTCACCATGTTGACCAGGCTGGTCTTGAACTACTGGCCTCAAGTGATCCACCTGACTTGGCCTCCCAAAGTGCTGGGATTACAGGTGTGAGCTACCACGCTGGCCCAAGTGAAGAATCTTGAAATGAGGAGATGTTCATAGGTCATGCAGTTGGGCTCAATATAATCACCAGGGTTCTTATGAGAGAGAGGCAGAGAAGCAGATGTGACAAAAGAAGCAGAGGAAGATGAAGAAAGGGAGGGAGACAGGAGGCTGGCTATTTCAAGGAACTATGCTGCTAGCCTCGAAGATGAAAGAGGAGATCAAGACCAGGGAATGCAGGCAGCCTCCAGAATCTGGAAAGAGGATGGAAACCATCCTCCCCCAGAGCCTCCAGAAGGGATGCAGCTCGGCCTATGCTTTCATTCTTAGTCCTGTAAGAGCCATTTTGGACTTTTGACCTTCAGAATGGTAAGATCATAAATTTATGTTGTCTTAAGCCACTAAATTCATAGTGTTAATTACCATAGCAATAGGAAAAGAATACACCATGTGTCCCACAATCTCACCCCTTCACTTTCTCCAGAACTCTGCTCAGATGTTACCTCATAGGAGACACTTTCCCTGACTACCCTATTGAAAACAATCCTCTCACTCTCCAGCACCCCAAGGTTGCTTTATTTTTTTTTAAATAGGGCTTATCATCATCTAACCTATTTTTTTATTCATGTTTGTTTTATTGTTTTGGAAATGAGAGCAGAGACTTGTTTTGTTCACTACTGCATGCCAGCGCCCTAAAACCATGTCTGGTAGTGAATATTTCTTGAATATATTCATAAAACGAATGAACTGTTTAAATGGTAATACCATTTTCTAATATAAAGACACTGGATAAAGAGAGAAACTGAAGGAAAATAAGTTTAGTTTTGTATATGACAACTCTGAGATACTTGGGAGACACTGTTTTGCACTCAAAAGGGCAATTTGTCCTGGATATATAAATACAGCCATCTTCATATAGTTGGTAACAGAGATCACGGAAGTGGATGAGCTCTTCTGGAAACAGAGTGTTTTCCCTTAACGGGCATCATCATATGATCGTGCCACAAATATCTCAACATTTCTCAAAATGAACCCATTTTTCCCTGACATCCAAACACGGGTTTCCCTTGACATCTTTATCTTAGGTAATGGCATCATCAACCAGTCACCAAAATAGAATATTGATTCTTCCCTTTCTCTACTTCAAAATTGAATTAAGCAAATACTGTTGATTCTATTTCACATATACCTCAGAATTCCATCCATCATTCTCTATTCCTACTGCCTCTGCCCCTGTTCATGACTATATTTTCTCTTGCACAGCTTATTGTAATAATCTTCTAACCAATCTCTCTCACTCTGGCCCTCTTCTCCAATTTAGTTTCCCCTCGATCACAAAGCTAAAATTCAAATCTGTTGTTTTCTAACAAGAAAATAACTCCCTAATATAATATACAAGATCTGGCATAGTCTGTTTCTAACTTTCCTGTCCATATTTATTTTAAATCTTTTTTTCACTCCCACCAGACACCACCTGAAATATGCTGCCTCAACCCCTTATTATGAAGATGACACACTCCTTTATGTTTCTGTGCTTTTGCAAATATTGTTACTTCTCCATCTATCCAGGCTCAACTCATCCTTCAAAATCGACTTCAAAGTGTAACTCCCCTGTGAAACCTTCTTTGTTACCTTTATCACCAAGATTGGCTCCTCCTTCCTCTCTAATCCTTCAGTATTGAGCATATGCATACGGCAGAATTTCTCGCAATGTTCTGAAATGACTTGTTTGCATGCCCACAGCCTTTACTATATTGTCAGCACCACAAATCTAATATGTGCCAGGACTATATTAGGTTCAAAATAAAAATCTGATGAATGAATGAAGTTGAGCTCACTAAATTTTTTTTTGAAACAGTAACAAAGTTAGCTCTAAAAATGTTTTCTAAAGAACTTCTGAGATCAATTTATATATGTTAGTTTTTTATTATAAAGAGGTATTATATTGTGCAATATTGATTAAAAATACTATGCAGCAATCAGAGAGTAAGAAATTGGAGCTAAATATTTCCAAGTAAGGCAGTTATAAATTAGAATATCGCCCAGATAATAGCCATGGTTGCAGGAACCCAAAATACAGAAAAGTTAAAAGTCAGCGAGAGAATGTCATAGACACTGAATGTGCCCACCTTGCATTCTCTCAAATCCACCGTGTGCTTTAGCCCCCAATGCTGCACCTGTTCTTCTGATAGGTAATTGAACAGCATCTTGTCTCAACTGCACTGCACTCTCACTCTCGCTGTGCTCCAGAGCTTGTATGACCTGGCTGCTTGGGAAGCCTGCAGGAAGTTCCTCAGCATGTACAACCTGACAGTATGAGGGAATCAGGGGTGGAATTCCGTGGAGGGGAGGCTGTGGATAACTGAGTCTACATGCCATTCCTCAAGTGGAAACTCTCGAGGCTCATTATACACAGCTACTTAGAAAACCCTGCCAGGGTCTAGCTGCACTTGCCCTCAGTGGGAGCACAGGCAAAGATGCACCCTGTATCAGCTTTCCCTACTTCTGTTTCATGCTTCCCACACCCTCTCCTCTTCTTCCCTGAAAATACTTCCTCAAAAATAAACTACCTACGTACAAGCCCCTGTCTTAGTGTATGCTTTCTGGCAGAAACCCTGACTAAGAAAACTGGGATCAAAAGTGGCCCTGGAAAGCAGACCTCTGAGATGAAATTGGAACTGGTCAGATGGTAGTAAGTTGGGTGGTCGCAACTCCTTGCACACAGTAGCCAATACTAAGCACTAAGATTCTTTTTTTGTTTTTTCTTTTTTCTTTTTTGAGACGGAGTCTCGCTCTGGCGCCCAGGCTGGAGTGCAGTGGCACGATCTCAGCTCACTGCAAGCTCCGCCTCCCGGGTTCACGCCATTCTCCTGCCTCAGCCTCCTGAGTAGCTGGGACTACAGGCGCCCGCCACCACCCCGCCCAGCTAATTTTTTTGTATTTTTAGTAGAGACGGGGTTTCACTATGTTAGCCAGGATGGTCTCGATCTCCTGACCTCGTGATCCAGCCGCCTCGGCCTAGCACGAAGATTCTTACAGGTGGTGAATCGGGATGAAGTCCAGGCAGAAAGTGAATGCAGTAGCCATGGCATAAATGGTGTGGGGCAAAGGTAATTTTAAGGATCGTGGAGTTGGCTACTTTTGTTAAGGCTCCTAAAGTTAGACTCCTACCTCAAGGCAAGTTGTGAAAGTCAGAAAACATCCATGAAGTATTAAAAGAAACCTTTATCTTTTAGGATAATGGGGGAAAAGTAGGTTTCAAATCATGCCCAGGAATTACGGTCAAGGAAGCAGAGCTGCAAAGGAGACTGAATGCAAAAGCTTAATAGCTAATGGGAAAGTACTGGGCTGCTGAGATGAAATTGTTGGTGACCTCCAACAAACCTGAGATCCTTGAACTCCCAGAAGTCCCTGAACCCTTCAGGTCAGTGGAAGCAACTTCCTTCCCACTGATGAGATGATGTTGTTGGTGACCTCCAACAAACCTGAGATTCTTGAACTCCCAGACAGCCCTGAACCCTTCAGGTCAGTGGAAGCAACTTCCTTCCCACTGATAGAAGAGGAAGTGCCACTAGTCTAGACACCCTGAAAACATATTACCTGAGTCAGATGCATTGCTACAAGATGTGTGTCCTTCTCTAGAGCCACTCCATTGCGTGCAGACAAGTAACGGGTTGAATCACAGTACAGTCTACACAGGGAAATACAATGCTTGCTCTATATAAATTAAAAGACGTGGCTAAATATGTACATATAGCAGACAGAGAAAGAGGGTGACGATGAATCTTGATGATGTCAAACAAGGAACTACTGAAATATGAATAGGCAACAATGTATTAACATGGGAAAACTCTTCCATGACTCAGAGTTTACCTTGGCAATGACACTTAGGGCCAGCCCCAATGTTTCTGAGACGGCTCCCTAAAGCTTGGACATAGTATTGGTCTAAAACAAATGTTGTAGATATGTGAGAATTGCCTTAACAGAGTACTAAGGAACAACTCAGGAGTATGAGAATGTTAGAATCGATGCAGTACACAAGATTGGAGAACCTGCCATCTGACCATCTTTTCTAGGAGTGCCTGAAGAATAAGCCCTTCGCTAACACAATAAAGAACGCACAGGTAAAGACAGCTTGTCCATTTTGAGAAGGTTGATGATGACTGTCCTCTGTAACATGTCAAGGAACTAAGATCACTAGTATCAGTGGGAATCATATCTATAGAAGAGACTTGGTGGAAATCTTTAACTGACAGAAGTAAGATGCCTGTAATTATTATAGTGGGCATCAAGCCTCAAGTAGTACCTTCACCCACAAAGATCTATCTATCAAGCCTAATAGACTGTGATATGTTTAGGGATTAAAAAGACGAGAAACCAGTTATTTGGCTTGTTTAGGAAAAAGTCAACAATTGCTTAGAAGAATGTTAATGTCAGCTACCACTTAAGAAAGCTGTGACTTCTCATTCCGTTTCCAAATCGAAGCAACATCTTAGACCTAGAGCCCATTAATTGATGTGAAGGCAATGTTTCTTTAAGGAAGGACCCTGTAATATCACCACAAGTATATAACATCACTATTGCCCCAATTCTTCCTCCAAAAGGCCTTTTAGCCATCTCCCAGAGAGAATATGCACCTGGAAAAGGGAAATACCCAAACATTTTGAGAACTACTGGATACAGTGTCTCATCTGACACTGATCCCCAGAAATACAAAAGGCCATCACATTGCCCAGTAGGACTAGGGACTTATAGATGCCAAAGGATAAATGAAATGATGATCCAAGAAGATGTCATAGTGGGTCAAGTGGTCTGCAGACCCGTTCTGTGGTCTTTGCCCCAGTCTTCCAATGTATAGCTAGAATGGCTAGACAGGATTTGGCCAAACCCTGACCTGTACAGTAAATAACCGTTGAAAGAAAAAGGACCAACTGGAGGTCCCTAACATGTACCATTTTGTCTTCTGTATCCCATCTGTTACAAGGTGTTGTTTTAGTTAAAGTGGTTAAAGGAAATAATGCTTCACATAGATATGTAATTGGAAAAGGCAATATTTTATAATGTTTCTGAGCATCATGACTGTTGTTCTTTGATACTATACCAACATTCAACAAATAATGGCTTTTTAAGCATTAGTTGCAAAAGTGAAATCTGAAACCATATCAATGAACTTTGCAAAACTTAGTTAAAAATCACTTTGCCTAGCACGTACTTTGAATAGATTGTTTTACCCATGCTTGATTTTATAACATCTTCCAAATACTGACACACTTCATTATACAATATCAAAAAAATCACTTTCATTAATATCACCACCAATCTCCTCAGAAAGGTCTTTAAGTATTGAGAAGCTGTTGAGCTCAAAGAGGCAGTTAAACAGTTTCCAGAATTGTAATTGTTGCTTAACAACTTGAATTTTGTCATTGGTTACAAAGTTCATCAGTTATTTCCTTAAGGTGACACGCTCACTTCATTCCTTTTCAACAAAATGTCTGCCAAATACCAAAGGTGGAATAACTGTAGTTTGTCAACCAGCTATTTATTTGAGTAAAAATTATATCCATGAAAAATGACTAGGTTAACACAGTCTCACATGACTTTTTCCTTCAGATGATCTTAATAGTTTGGTATGTAGTGGAAGTACCTCATGCATACTTCCCATTTCATCACAAGCAATATTAAAAATATCCATTAAATATTAGCATAAATAACACTTCATGAAAAATCACTATTTTTTTAAATAGTGAAAATTGGGACACTTTTACAGGAGTCAAAAACGAATACCAAAGGAGTAGAATGAACAAGACAGCCAAACAGAAGCCTCCAGCGATCACTCTTCCCTCCACCCTAACAGGAACACCAAATTGGACAAATATCCACACAAGAAAGCACCTTCATAGAACCTAAAATCAGGTGAGCAATCACAGTACCTGGTTTTAAAATCATATCAAGGAAAAGGCACTGAAGGGGCTAGGAAAGACAATCTTGAATTGCCAGCATTTCCCTTCCTCCATCCCCTGGTGGCTGTATGGCGTGGAGAGAGAATCTGTGCACCTGCAGGAGAGAAAGCACGGTGATTGTGGGACTTTACATCGGAACTCAGTGCTTCCCTGTCACAGTGAAATGCAACATGGGGCAGAATTCAGCCAGCAACCACGGAGGGGGCATTTAAACCAGCGCCAGCCAGAGGGAGAACATCAATCCCAACTGTCTGAACTTAAGCTCCAACTGGCCCCACCACCACAGGTTAAAGTGCTCTGGGGTTCTAAATAAACTTCAAATGCAGTCTAGGCCACAAAGACTGCAATTCCTGGGCAAATCTTGGTACTGAACTAGGCTCAAGGCCAGTGGACTTGGAGTACATGTGACAACCTACTGAGACACCAAGGGCAGCCAAGGGAGTGCTTGTGTCCTGCCTCTGTCAACTCCAGACTGTGCAGCTCACATCTCCAGGAGGAGAGGGAAGAGTACAGAGATCTTTGTCTTGCAACTTGGATACCAGTTCAGCCACCACAAAATAAAATACCAAGCAGAGTCCTGAAGCCCCATCGAGGCCGTAGCTCCTGGAAGAGATTTCCAGATCCACCCTGGGTCAAAAGAAAACTCACTGCCCTGTCCTAGCAGAATTCACCACCTGCTTACTAAAGCGTCCTTGGCCCTTGAGTAAATATCAGTGGTAGTCAGGCAGCAGTTGCATAGGCCTTGGGCAAGACCCCATACTGTCTGGCTTCAGGTTTCACCCAGCAAATTCCCAGCTGTGATGGCCATGGGGAGAGAGTCCTTCTGCTTGAGGAAGGGAGAGAGAATAAAATGGACTTTGTCTTGCAGCTTGGGTACCAGATAAGCCATAGTGAAATAAAGCACCGAACAGACTTCTAAATTCCCTGATTCCAAGCCTTAGCTCCTGGAGGGCTTTTCTAGACCAATTCCCTGAGTCAGAAGGAAATCCACTGCCCTAAGGGATAGAGACCAAATACTGGCAGTATTCATCACCTACCAACTAAAGAGCCCTTGAGCCTCAAATAAATATCAGAGGTAGCCAGGAAACAGTTGACACAAGCCTTGAGCAAGACCCAGTATTGTGTTGGCTTCAGATGTGACCCAGCATAGTCCCAGTGGTGGTGTCCCTGGGAGTGCTCATGTCACCCCTCCCCCAAGTCCAGGTAGCTCAGCACAGAAAGAGAGAGACTCTATTTGCCTGGGGGGAAGTAAGGGAGAAGCACAAGAGACTCTGCTGGGTGATTTAGGAAATTCTCCCAGATCTTACCCAAGACCACTAAAGTGACGCCTCTATGAGTCTACAAAAGTCACAGTGTTTCTGGGATTGGGGTTCCCCCATAATGCAGATATGCCTGTAGTGAGCAAAGACTTAGATCACAACACTCAATTCCCTTTGAATATTTGGAAAGCCTTTTCAAGAAGGATAAGTACAAACATGCCAGACTGCAAAGACTAGAATAAATACCTAACTCTTCAACGCCCAGATATCAACAAACATCCACAAGTATCAGCATCATCCAGGAAAATCTGACCTCACCAAATCAACCAAATAAGGCACCAGTGACCAATTCCAGAGTGACAGAAATCTGTAACCTTTCAGGCACAGAATTCAAGGAAGCTGTCTTGAGCTCAAAGAAACCCAAGATAACATGAAGAAGGAAATTAGAATCCTATCAAATACATTTACCAAAGAGATTGAAATAATTACAAAGAATCAAACAGAAATTTTGGACTTAAAAATTCAATTGACAGATTGAAGAATATATCAGAGTCTCTCAACAGCAGAATTGGATATAGAAGGAACATACCTCAACACAATAAAAGCCACATATGACAGATACACAGCTAGTATCATACTGAAGGGGAAAAACAGAAAGTTCACTCTAAAATCTGAAACATGACAAGGGCGCCCACTTTTACCACTGTTATTCAACATAATACTGGAAGTCCTAACTAGAGCAATTAGACAAGAGTAAGAAATAAGGGACATCCAAATTGGAGAAGAAGGAGTCAAATTACCATTATTTGCAGGTGATGATCTTATATTTGGAAAAACCTAAAGACTCCAAAAAAAAAAAAAACCTGTTCAAACTGATAAAGAAATTCAGTAAAGCAGCAGGATACAAAATCAACATACAAAAATCAGAAGCATTTCTATATGCCAAAAGTAAACAATCTGAAAAAGAAATCAAAGTAATCCCATTTACAACAGCTACAAATAAAGTGTCTAGGAATTATCTTAACCAAAGAGATTTAAAAAAAAAAAACAAACTCTACAATGAATACTATAAAACATTGATGCAAGAAATTGAAGAGGACACAAAAATATAGAAAGATATTCCTTGTTCAGTGATTGGAAGAATAAACATTGTTAAAATATCCATACTACCCAAAGCAACCTACAGATTCAGTATAATCCACATCAAAATACCAATTACATGTTTCACAGAGAAAGAAATAATCCTAAAATGTATATGGAACCACAAAAGAATGAGAATAGCCAAAGCTATCCTGAGCAAAAGAACAAAACTGGAGGAATAACATTGCCTAACTTCAAATTATACCACAGAGCTATAGTAACCAAAACAACATGGCACTGGCATAAAAATAGACCAATGGAACAGAATACAGAATCCAGAAATAAATCCATACTTCTACCATGAACTCATATTTGAAAAGAATGCCAAGAACATATACTGGGAAAAGGATAGTCTCTTCACTAAATGGTGCTGGGAAAACTGGATATCCATATGCAGAAGAATGAAACTGGACCCCTATCTCTCACCATATACAAAAGTCAAATCCAAATGGATTAAAGACTCTAAGACCTCAAACTATGAAACTACTAAAAGAAAGTATTGGCCGGGCATGATGGCTCATACCTGTAATCCCAACACTTTGAGAGGCCGAGGTGGGTGGATCACCTGAGGTCAGGAGTTTGAGACCAGCCTGGCCAACATGATGAAACCCCATCTCTACTAAAAATACAAAATCAATTAGCCAGGCATGGTAGCATGCACCTGTAGTCTTAGCTACTCTGGAGGCTGAGGCAGAAGGACTGCTTGAACCCAGGAGGCAGAGGTTGCATTAAGCCAAGATCATGCCACTGCA
This sequence comes from Homo sapiens, assembly GCF_000001405.40. Classification (NCBI taxonomy): domain Eukaryota; kingdom Metazoa; phylum Chordata; class Mammalia; order Primates; family Hominidae; genus Homo; species Homo sapiens. Next base: position 145,048,620 of record NC_000007.14, on the reverse strand, counting down.
CTCCAGCCTGTGTGACAGAGTGAGACTCCATCTCAAATAATAATAATAATAATAATAATAATAATAATAATGGGGAAGTTATCCATGCCATTGGTCTGGGCAAAAATTTATTGAGTAATACCACATAAGCACAAGCAACCAAAGCAAATATGGACAAATGGGATCATATCAAGTTAAAAAGCTTCTGCACAGCAAAGGAAACAACAAAGTGAAAAGACAATATACAGAATGGGAGAAAATATTTGCAAACTACCCATCAGACAAGGTATTAATAAGCAGAATAGATAAGGAGCTCAAACATCTTTATAGGAAAAAATCTAATAATCTGATTTGAAAATGGGTAAAAAATTTGAATAGACATTTCTCAAAAGAAGACACACAAATGGCAAACAGATACATGAAAAGGTACTCAACATCACTGATCATCAGAGAAATGCAATTCAAAACTACAATGAGATTTCCCCTCACCCTAGTTAAAATGGCTTTTATCCAAAAGATAGGCAAAAATGAATACTGGCGAGGATGTGGAGAAAAGGGAAACCTCATACACTGTTGGCAGCAATGCAAATTAGTACCACCACCATGGAGAACAGTATAGAGGGTTCCTCAAAAAGTAAAAGTAGAACTGCAAGATGATTCAGCAATCCCGCTGCTAGATAGATACCCAAAAGAAATCAGTATATTGATGAGATATCTGCAGTCCTATGTTTACTGCAGCATGATTCACAATAACTAAGATTTGGAATCACCCTTAGTGTCCATCAACAGATGACTGGACAAAGAAAATGTGGTACATATACACAAGTTAGCAGTGGAAAACAGAATAAGACCCTGTCATGTGCAAAACATGGATGGAACTGAGGACATTACGCTAAGTGAAATAATCCAGGCACAGAAAGTCAAACTTCTCATGTTTTCACTTATTTGTGGGAGCTAAAAATTAAAACAATTGAACTCATGGATACAGAGAGAAGAATGATGGTTTCCAGGGAATGGGAAGGGTAGCTGGGGCTGGGGGGATAGAAAATTTAGATGGTTAATGGGTTTAAAAATATAGTTAGATACAATGAATAAGATCTAGTATTTGATAGCATGGCAGGGTGACTACAGTCAGCAATAATTTTTTGTCCATTTTAGAATAAGTGAGGAAGTACAGTTGTAATATTCAAAACACAAACAAATAATGCATGTTTGAGGTGATGGATATCCCCACTTACCCTGATGTGATTATTATGTGTCATATGCCTGTATCAAAATATCTCATGTGCCCCATAAATATATACAACTACTATGTACCCATGAAAATTAAATATAAAAATTTTTAAATGAATACATTTGCTATTTCATCAGGACATTCTTAAGTAAAACTTTTTTAACTCTGAGTACCTGGTGTTGATAACATAATTACCCCAACTATAGGTTGGTACCACCGTTTTGATTTGTGCAAAGGCACCAGCTGCTTTGCCTACCATTGACTTTTGCACCACTGGTGCAACTATCAAGAGTGAAAGGATCAAATAACATCTCATATTATGAAAGCAGTATGGGCCTTGTGGACCATGCAGAAGGGTCTTGAAGACCCCCAGGGATCTACAAACACCACTCTGAAAATCACTGCCTTAAAGGCAGTGAAAGCTAAGGCAGTGGGTAGATATGAAAAATTGGCGAGACCCAAAATATGATCTTTATGAAAGTTCCACATCGAATAATGATCAGAAGTTGCATAGACACTTTTCAAGAATCCCAAGTAAGCAAGCAAAGAAGAACTAGTTCCCAGGATTTCTTTCCATGCAGAATGGATACAGCCACAAAGCCTGGTTGACAGAGAGGGAAAAGGTGCGTTGAGAGGAAGGCATCGCAGCTATTTTTTCAGGTAATCTTTAACTCGGATAATCAGAGGCCCTGGGAAACTCACAACTACCTTCTCCTCCCAAATATTTTCCCATGCCCTTCAGGGCAATGTGCAGATGTATAAATAGACTTTCAAGAACAACTGAAATGTCACAAAGTTCCCAAACATTGATATGCACAATAAAGTCTAGCATGGTTCTACTAAGGGGTGTCTTCCCCAACAGGCTTGTGATTCCCTTAGCAAGGAAATGTATCATCTGACTTCCTAAAGTGCTCCCATAGTCCCCAGCACAGTGCTGGTTCTGTAACAAGCCTTAGATAAATACTTGATTCACTGATTTGATATAATAAGCCAAATTAATGTGTGCATGGAGTGATGGAGGCGAGTGTAACTAAGCAAGAATGCTGCAGGCAGAGATATTTTATGTGAACTCCCACAAACTAAGATGCTCACTAATGATAACATTATTTTAACTCCATTCTCTCAAGGTTTTTTATTTACAGGTTGAATATTATTCTCTTTAAGAATATGTATCATCATAGGTCCGCCATACAGTTTGTCCTGTTCCGTAAACCATGCTCCAGCTGTGCATTCTCTGCTCAACCTCACTGGGGCCTTGCAACCCACCTGAGCTCCAGGGCAGTGCAGGCAGGAAAGGGCTCTCAGCTTCCCTCCTGCACGGCAGGCAAAGGCAGAGAGTTCAGAAGCTGCTGGAAGGACTGCGGAGAAGGAACACGCGCACAAGTCTAATGCCTATCTGGTTCTACTATGAGGACTTGAAATCTATTCCCTAAGCATGAAGTGCTTCAGGAGCCTCTCTCAAAGTACCATTTTGCTGCTGTGATATCTAAGACTCATTTCAAACTTGAGATACATTCAGCAGTTTAATTTAGAAGACTGTGTGATGGCATTAAACACACTGCTCAAAATTTGGTGCCAAATGAAAGTCACACAGTTCATCTAAGCCTCTTGCCTCTGCAGCCCCCCCATGCTAGGTTTCTATGACCTGAAGAAACCAAATAGCATTCCATTTAGCCTCTGTACAAGCCATCTAGACAAAGGACAAAAAGATCAGCTTTTCACTGGAGATACGTATTATATACAAATATATAATATCCTCTGATTTTTTTTGTTTGCTTCACTTTTGGAAAATAAACTACCATTTTAGGCCTTCCTCACTGACAAAATCAATTCTTTTAGAGGTAGAGTTTTAGGTGCAATGGAAGTACCCTCTGCCTTCTGAAATTCCCTCTGTTCAGCTGCTCATAGGTGAGTGAAAGCTCTTTAGCCAAAGCAAATATTTTATTTAGAAAAATATACGTCTTAAAATATAGAATTGAGGCAGTGACTTGTAAACTCCTTGATACGAAATTGTAAATGGTTCCTATAACAAATTGCTCATCTAGGGGAGGACTGGGCTCTCCAGGGCACTGGGTGCCATCCCACATTGTGGAGGAGGAGGAAATGGCACGAAGGGCACTAACGAGCTCTAAAGAAAGAAAAGATCAGGCCAGGTGCCGTGGCTCATGCCTGTAATCCCAGCACTTTGGAAGGCCCAGGCGGGCAGATCACTTGAGATCAGGAGTTCGTAACCAGCCTGGTGAACATGGCGAAACCCCATCTCTAATAAAAATACAAAAATTAGCAGGGTGTGGTGGCACATGCCTGTCATCCCAGCTACTTGGGAGGCTGAGGCAGGAGAATCACTTGAACCCAGGAGGCGGAGGTTGCAGTGAGCCGAGATCACGCCATTGCAATCCAGCATGAGCAACAAGAGCAAAACTCCATCTCAAAAAATATAAATAAAATAATAATAATAACAATAATAAAGGAAAGATCAGAGCTGCTGAACACCAGCAGCACAAATTTCACAATTTTGTCTATTTTGGAAAACAGAAATTTCATTAAATGGACAGCACTATACAATCCTGCCTTTTAAAATAATTTTCTTGAAGTATGTTTGCCTTGTACTGATTGCTAATTAAACAGAACTGTCATAGTATGATAGTTACATAATTTCTTCTCATGTTCAGTTTTCAGAAAAATATATTTTAACAATTGACACTTTTTTATTTTTATAAGCAAATGGAATATTTAGATGTTGGTCACTTTTCTCCAGTATGTTCTGTAGATGAACTGAAAAACCCTAATTCCCTGGTACTGCCACCAGAAAATCCATCCTTTTTTTCCTTGTTTGCACTGAGAAACCAGGATTACTTCTCTCCCTTCTGCCCATTTTTCCCAACAAATCACCGTCCCTGTTATTATAAATATTCACTGCTAAGGGCCAGAAGCCACTGAGAACAAAACACAGAATAAGAACAGTACATAAAATTGCTGTGGAGCCTCTGGGTTTTTTGCTGCAATAGACATCTCAGTTGCAGACATCAGATGGATTTCATGAAGTTGGTTGCAAAACCTTGGCCCAAATCAAGGATGTTATTGTTTCTTTTCCCTGCTAATTCTTCATCCTCTCTCTGCTTCTCTCTCTTCCCACGTCTCAGTAAGCCCGCCTGTGTCTCTGTCTGTTTGTCTGTGTCTCTTTTAGGCTATGTGACTCACCTGCAAACTTGCAGCCCAGTGAGTTGAAAACTGTTATCCCATCGTGTCTGAAATTGATTTCTTCTGTCTGAATGGTGCCTCTAGAGTTTGGAGAACAGCTCCAAAAGGATACAGTAATATACAAAAACATGAGTGAGCCCAGAGCTATTCTAAATAAGTTCTTTTTTATTTATAATACATATGGAAGAGAGTGTATATATTTAAAGGAATGGAATGTATTTGCATTAAAATCAGAATCTGATGGTCCACCAAGATATAAAATCAAGCAAGAGCTATCACAAAGTCTGCCTTTCCAACAAGACTCCATGTTGTCCCCTCTGTTCTCATCATGGGTCTACCTAGATCCCACCATCCCATCTGCACATACTGGGTTGGGGCACCTTGACACCCCTGACCTGCCTTTCACTATCCAATGGCCCACCCCACTACAAGCGAATCATCCTTCTGTAACTGCAATGTAAAATTTTTTAAAGAATGGCCATTTTACAAATCATCATAGGATTATTCCATTTTGAAGAATAATTCTGGTAATATGTCAGAATGACTTATCTTCTATGATATTTCAAATTTTCTCACAATTTTCCCCTTTAAGCTTTTTCTTACTTCCATATTTTTAGCTCTTAATTCTTCCTTATCCTTAATCTCATCTAGAATAACAGCTTCAGGCTCTCATCCCATTGGGTTTTGTCATTTTGCCTGAAACTTTTACTGCTTCTTTACAGACGTTTTAGAATTTGGTTTTAGCCTTTATTTTCAATTTGATTTCTCTTATCTCAAATTTTAAATTTTAGCTTTAATGTTTAACATTCTTGTTAGACCTCAACTCCTACTTTATGGGAACGAAAGCGTTAATAAAATACTCTCATGTGTTTAGCTTTTCTTAACATTTTATGTTCTTACAAATGCTTATTTCCCCAATTGTTTCTCTTCTCCCATCCTTTTCAGTATCTTTTTTATAATATTTGTTGAGAAAATTGTGCATTTGTGCTGAAATTCCTTAATGAGTCTAAGTCATCAAAAAATAGGGGTGCATAAATATTTTGTTCCTAGAATTGTCCTTATGATTACTTCACTGGTTTTTCCAAACAGATCTCCTGGACCTAAGTACTTCATAATGATGGATATGAAAAAACAAACTTAAGATACTTAATCTATAGGTTAACCCTTAGAATATAAAATTTTTCCAGGTATGCTTTTCTTCTTAAAAACCTCCTACCATCCAAGCCTTATGTGGAAAGATACAAATTTTGACACTTACCATCTCTGTCCCCATATACTATACTGTACCATGAGCCTGGGTGTTTTGGAAATTCAAAGCTAAGGCAAGGCTCTCCATTCACTGTCCTGGGTCAGAAATCCTAAGCAAGCAGGTGGCGATGGGCCTTCTGATGGTTACTTACGATTCACAATGTGGTAGAGGAACCACAGACATCTTCTACTTACACCTGAATGCTCAACACATTTTCTGGGTTGTGTTATTCCCCTCTCAGAGGAATCATCCAAGAATCTCCTCAGTGTTATAATCCATTGACTTCTTTCTCTCATTGAAAGAGTTAAGACAAAGCTTGCAATGAGAATTTTATCCAAATTCTTCTAGGGGTGGGATGCCCTATTTTGGTCAGAAATTATACTGAAGGATTTCAGGCTACAAAAATATATCAGAACCTAAAGAGAGGGTAGAAACATTTTACTCTAGGCAATGCTTTTTGGTTCTAAGAAAATCTGAGATGACAACTAGATGGAGATGCTCTTCCTAAAGGAAAACTAGATATTCTTCTGGCAAAAAGTAGAATTTCTAAAAGACAATTTAAACAGCCCATCAGGGTATAGACAAGAATCAAATTGCTCCTGATTTTCTGTACTATCTATCACTCCTGTTAAACTCTAGTATGTGGTAATATCTTATTATGAGGTTAATTTGAATTTGGGTAATTAGCAATAGCATTGAACATCTCTTTATGTGTTTGTTGGCCATTTGTGTATGTTCTTTGATGAAGTGTGTTCAAATCTTCTGCCCATTTTTAATTGAGATTTTTTTCTCTTATTATTGAGCTATAAGAGTTAATATATTCTTAATACAAGTGATTTATTAAATACATATTTTGAAAATATATTTTCTAATCTTTGGCCTTTCTTTTTATTTTCTTAAAAACCCAGAGAGGCTATCTATGTGTTTTTGCTGAGATTATGCAGCAAGCCAGCTTGATTCTACTTCTAGCATTATTTCCTCTATGCAGCACTGAGGGCAGTTTTCTCTGCAGAAACTTCACTGACAATTCAGCAAATATACCATAGATCAGGAGCTTATGGATAGGGAGCAGACTGCAGACAGGAATCTGTAATAACTCTGTTGCTTCTTAAGAAGGAATTCTTTGGCAATTTGCTATGTGAGGAGACTTCCAGGCTCAAGTGTTAATTGTAATCCCTTTGTTTTTAAAATAGCTGATCGTAGAATAAATAAATCTTACTTTCTCTTTTTTTTAAAAAAAAACACAGGCCTCAATTTCCTAAAATATTCACTCTATACATAAACAAATGTAAGCTTTAATAGAGTGTCAAAAGTGGCTTTGCAAAAATGTCAATGGGCCAGTTGCTATGAATAGTAGTTTATACATAAGCACAGAATGTTGCTGAATTATTAGAACCCCAGTCATTCAAGACCATGACAATGGCCTCAGAGTTATTCTCATCTCCATAGAAACACACATTCTACCAGAGCATCCCTAATTTGTGAAGAATATTGATATATTTGTGCCAATTCATTCATGTTCTTCCACCTAATCTCCTCAAGTAACTATTGGGTGTTTTGGAAATTTAAATCTAATTTAAATTAGAAGGAGATGCGAAGTGACCCAGACTTGGATTTAACCAAAACCTTTTGTCTAACGCATCTGACCAACTTATGTAATTGTTCTCCCTAACAATGAAACTGGTTAAAATGTTTCCTAATGATCTGAAAGAACTGTTGTTTATACACATAGCAACTAATTTATTTTAAGATAGTTTCAAAAACATTGAGAGGAACCATATTTCCTAAATAATTCACTTTAAAGAAAATGGCAATTTATTATTTACCAACAGATTGTTATACTGCAAAGAGAAAAGATTTTAGAACACACGCACAATTCTCTCCTCAACTGAGACAACTGTGTATTCTTTCTATTTTGTAGATGCAAGCTTCTTTCTCAGTTCCTGTAATGCTCCCTAATGTGAAAATTTCTTTAAAAACTGGAAAATAGAACTTCCTCTTTTTCCAACTGGAACCATGGAGGGTGTAGAAGAGAAGAAGAAGGAGGTTTCTGCTGTGACAGAAACCCTTAAGAAAAAGCAAAGGAATTTCACAGAGCTGAAGATCAAGCGCCTGAGAAAGAAGTTTGCCCAAAAGATGCTTTGAAAGGCAAGGAGGAAGCTTATCTATGAAAAAGAGAAGCACTATTACAAGGAATATAGGCAGATTTACAGAACTGAAATTCGAATGGCGAGGATGGCAAGAAAAGCTGGCAATTTCTATGTACCTGCAGAAGCCAAATTGGCCTTTGTCATCAAGATCAGAGGTATCAATGGTGTGAGCCCAAAGGTCCAAAAGGTGTTGCAGATTCTTCGCCTTCGTCAAGTCTTCAATGGAACCTGTGTGAAGATCAACAAGGCTTCAATTTACATGCTGAGGATTGTAGAGCCATAGATTGCATGGGGGAACCCAAATCTAAAGTCAGTAAATGAACTAACCTGCAAGGGTGGTTATGGCAAAATAGATAAGAAGAAAATTGCTTCGACAGATCATGCTTTGATTGCTCGATCTCTTGGTAACTATGGCATCATCTGCATGGAGGATCTGATTCATGAGATCTATACTGTTTACATGCTGAGGATTGTAGAGCCATAGATTGCATGGGGGAACCCAAATCTAAAGGCAGTAAATGAACTAACCTACAAGGTTGGTTATGGCAAAATAGATAAGAAGAAAATTGCTTCGACAGATCATGCTTTGATTGCTCGATCTCTTGGTAACTATGGCATCATCTGCATGGAGGATCTGATTCATGAGATCTATACTGTCGGAAAATGCTTCAAAGAAGCAAATAACTTCCTGTGGCCCTTCAAATTATCTTCTCTATGAGGCAGAATAAAGAAAACAGCCATCCATTTTGCAGAAGGAGGAGATGCTGACAAGAGGGAGGACCAGATCAACAGGCTTATTAGAAGAATGAACTAAGGTGTCTACCATGATTATTTTTCTAAGCTGGTTGTACCTGCTTTCAAACTGAACAACGACAACAAAAAAAACCTGAAAATAAATACACCTGGAGAAGGTTCCCTAACCCAAGAATGAACCAAGGATTTCTCTGAATTGTGGGCTTGGATTCTTGGCTAGTCATGTCCTTTTATCGATGCTATAAGCATGGTCCCAGCTACCTAGATACAGAGGATAGTCTATTCCAGTTCTTAAAAGGGCAACTCCTTACTTACTTTACCCCAGATTAGCAGACTCATTAATTTATTACACAATCCAAAATGTAAGCTACGTTTCTGCCTGATATCTTTCTGGCACACTGGGCCTTCTTAGGCCTATGGGTCATTAGATTGACTTGCAGACTTTGGACATGATGAATCCTCAGATTACCAAAGTTGTACTCATTTTTTATGTATCAGTTTTTGTAAAAGTCTAAGTTACATATGACTATAGTTTAAGGTTAAATATTCCATTAATGTTGTTAAATAAAATAGCAATTTTCCTGACCACTTCTTCTTGTCCAATTTTCTCCTCTCTACAAGCAGCCACATTCAATTCTATTAAAGCTGATATTTTAAGAAATTTCTTTGATATTATTAAGTAACATGTTTGCTAATTCTTGATTTGTCAGTTTTAGTTTTGTGAAAAGAATACCCATTATGGCAGATGAAGATGAAGCTTCATTTCTTCCCTTACCCCTCTACATTTCCTCTTTCTCCTCTCCCTATCCTCCCGTAGAGTTATACCATAATTTCAATTGATTGATATTCAATATTTACAAGACTACAGTAACACTATTCTCAAAGGAGATATGCAGTAAACCGATTGCTTTCATTTACCGTACAACTCTCTGTCTTGCAGTTAATCATTGTATAATTGTTTAATTTCTATTAAATTAGCATCAATTTAACCCCAAACTTTCTCCCAATCCTGTATCTTCCCTCAGGAAATAGAGACACATAAAGCAATATCTCAATTTCATCTTCTTGAAGAAATATCTCCTGGAGCCCTATGAAGAGTGCTCACATGAACCTGTTGCTTGCTATGCCTTTATCCCTCCTGGACATTCCTTTTTTCTCTCCTCTATCAGAAATAAAATAGGAAAGTATTGATTTTGCTATTCTTTTTAATCCCATACCTTTCTCATTCTTAGGTTACTTATTTTAATAGAGAATATTAGCCAGTATTTCCCTAAGATTGGATGTATTCAGGATAAATTTTTTGAGAACCTACATACCTAAGAATATCTTTATATTTTTTGCATACTTGGTTGATAATTGTCCTGATCATAGAACTATAGATGGAAAATGATTTTTCCTTCAGAATTTTGTGTTCTAGCTTCTAGAATCATAGAGAACCCACATGATTCATGATTCTTTCTCTGTGGTTTTTATTTCCTCTAGAATAGCACTGTTCAATTGAAATATAAGATAATCTACAAATGTTAGCCACATACGCAATTTTAAAATTTTAATAGCACGTTTTAAAATATTAAAAAGAAACAGGTGAAATTAATTTTAGTATTTTATTTAACTAAATATATCCGGATGTTATCATTAAGAAGTGATCAATATAAATCATTGTAAGAAAGTATTTTACAAACTTTTAAAATCTAGGTGTTCAAAATATAATGTGTATTTAATGTGTATATAATGTGTATTTCACACTTATAGCATGTTTGTTTGGACTAGCTGCATATCAAAAGCTCCATCGTCACATGTGGTTTGCGGCAACTTTATTGGACAGTGATACTCAGGAAAGATATAGGTATTTTCTTTGCTGCTAGTCTTCTAATAATTTGCCTTGATGAGGGCTGAATTTTGCTTATTTTTCTAGGCATTCAGTGAGACCATCTGCCTGACAACTCATTTGTATCAGTTCTAGGAAAATTCTTTAAATTATTGCCTTGATAACTCTCATCTTTCTCCATTTCTATTTACTCTGTTTCTGAAACTTGCTATTCAACAGATAAGACACCAACTGTGCTTGCTGATCCTCTAATTTATTTCTCCCATTTTTCGATTTATTTTTCTTAGTTCTGCTTTCCAAATTTTTTATTTTCTAATACTTCCAGTAGAATTTTAGTTATATTTTTAACTTCAAAAAGGTATTTGTGTCCTGCATGTCCATGTTTAACTGCACCTGTTCTTGTTTCATGATTACAATATCTCCTTGTAGCTGAGCATATTTGTGGTATTTTAAAAATCTTTTCCTCCTTACAGTCTGTTTCCTCCGAACTTCTTTTTTTCCCCTCTTCATTTGCTTAGTCTCTGATTTTTTATGTAAGAGGCTTTCCTCAGATATCTGGCAACTCTCAGTTTTCTGTTCTTATTTGTAAGTGGGAAACTAATGAGTTGATTCATTGAGTATATGAGTTAAGCCTCTCAAGGATTCATTTTATCATAAGGTGAGCTAACTGTGCTATTTCATTGGAAAAGCAGTGATGTTAATATTTTTAGAGCTTTGCTCTTCCACTGATCAGACTTTCCAGAGAAAGTTCTTCCATTCTCCTGTTCTAACAATAGCAGACTGGTTATTTGATTCTAGGAGCCTAGCAAGAGACGAGGAAAAGAGAGCATCAGCATCGTATATGCCTGTGTGCACTTAATAGAACTGCTGCCAGTACAGAATCTCCATTTTCAACTGTAACTGAAGGACCCTTTTTCAGAAACCCTCTATGTTACCCACTGAAGAAAATAAACCTCTAGTATTCTGCCCAGGGGTAGGGGAAGCTGCATAATTTCTTCACTCTTTAGAGGCTCTTTTACTGTGCTGCATTTTGGCATGGTGCCACAAACATATGCTGAGAAACGCTGTATGAAAGAGCTCTATTAAAAGGCCATTGTGAGTTCCACTTTCATTCATTTATTAATATTACACTGTTTAGGAAATTTTCAGGCATGCTCCTGTGTTAGAGTTTGGAATTTGGAAAACTAATTTGAGCCAGAATAGTTTTCAAAGATTTTTCTTCATGAAAGTACAACATGTCTCCTGCATCCTTTGTCTAGCCACTGATAGAAACACCTACCCCACTTCAACTACTTGGTGTGAAGTCTTTGGATATAAGTCCAAACTTGTTACCAGGTTCAGCATTCACAAAGCTGCCGCCCTCTCCCACCCGTCACAACACCTACCTACTTTTGAAGTATGCAGTTAGGATATACTGCCACCAGGTGGTAGATTTTGGTATCATTCCCAAAGTCTCAACTCTAAATTGCATGTTTTGAAGGAAATTCAAGGTTTATCCAATTAATGTTCCTACTAGTGCTATTTATGAAAATGTTTCAATGAAGAGCCTAAACATTTAAATATGTCATAGTAAAAAAATTCACATCGATTGTTTTTCTTAGAAAAACAGTTTCTAATGGAAACATATTCTTCTCACTAGTGTTTGTTATTAAAAACAACTTAATCTAATCCTGTTGTACTTCCATTATTAGCAGTATTTTATATAACACTTGTTCTAACATCTCTTGAATCTTAAATTTCAAATCGATTGGTTTTAAATATTTACATATTTAAATATTACATATTTTTCCAAGTACTTATGCTCCACAAGCATGAAAGATTATGAAATATATCTCCACTTCCCCTAGTATTTAGTTTATGCTATCTACTGAGCTCCTCCAATGTATTAGTGATATCTAAAAGATTTTTCCTATACCTCATTAAAGCAAGAGACCATGCCAGGAGCCAAAATCTAGATGAGTCAAAAAGCCATTATTAGAATAAATAATTCTGCTCAATAAAAATGGGCAAACTACTGATATACACTACTTAGCCACTGTACATCCTTTATGCTGTGTGGAAAAAAGAAAAGCCTCTCCCAAATGATCACATACTGTGTGATTCCATTACATAACATTCCTGAACTGACAAAATTATAGAGATGAGAAACAATTAGTAGTCGTCGGGGGTTGGGGGAAGAGAAGCAGGTGTGACTAAAGGAACAGCAAGAGGGAGATCTTTCTGGTGATGGAATAGTTCTGTATTTTGACTGTGGTAGAGGTTCCATGAATATACACACGTGATGAAATGACATAGATCTACAAATGCACATTGGTATAGTTTGGGTAAGTCTCCATATCTCACACTGAAACGTGATCGCCAGTGTTGGAGGTAGATACTAGTGGGACGTGTTTGCCTCATGGAGGTAGATTCCTCATGAATGGGTGTGGCTGCCATCCCCATGGTAATGAGTGAATTCTTGCTCTATTAACTATCTGATTGTTCATAACAGCCTGAGAAATCCTAGCTAGAGCAATCAGGCAAGAGAAAGAAATAAAAGGCATCCAAGTAAGAAAAGAGGAAATCAAACTATCTCACTTAACTGACAATATGATTTTTTACCTAGAAAATCCTAAAGACTCTTCCAAAAGGCTCCTGGAACTAATAAATTACTTCAGTAAAGTTTCAGGGCACAAAATCAATGTACAAAAGTCAATAGCATGTCTACACACCAGTAACATTCAAGCTGAGAGCCAAATCAAGAATGCAATCCCATTTACAATAGCTGAAAAAAAATAATAACATATCTAGGAACACATATAACTGAGGAAGTGAAAGATCTCTACAAGGAGAATTACAAAACACTGCTGAAAGAAATCATAGATGACACAAACAAATAGAAAAACATTCCATGCTCATGGATTGGAAGAGTCAATATAATTAAAAATGCTTGGCCATACTCTCCTAAGCAAACTACAGATTCAACACTATTCCTATCAAGCTACCAAGGTCATTTTTCACAGAACTGGAAAAAAAACAATTCCGAAATTCATATGGAACCAAAAGAGCCTGAATAGCCAAAGCAATTCTAAGCAAAAAGAACAAAGCCAGAGGCATCACATTACCTGACTTGAAACTATACTATACGGCTACAATAACCAAAGCAGCATGGAACTGGTACAAAAACAGATACACAGACCAATGAAACAGTTTAGAGAACCCAGAAATAAAGCCACACACCTACAGTCATCTGATCTTCAACAAAGTTGACAAAAATAAGCAATAGGGAAAGGACTCCCTATCCAATACATGGTGCTGTGAGAGCTGGCTATCCATCTGCAGAAAAATGAAACTGAACCTCTACCTTTTACCATATACCAAAATTGACTCAAAATGGATTAAAGATTTAAATGTAAGACCTCAAACTTTAAGAATCCTAAAAGAAAACCCAGGAAACACCATTCTGGATGTCGACCTTCGGAAAGAATTTATGATTAAGTCCTCAAAAGCAATAGCAACAAAAACAAAAATTGACAAGTGGAAGCTAATTAAACTAAAGACCTTTTGCACAGCGAAAGAAACTATCAACAGTTAACAGACAATCTACAGAATGGAAAATATTTGCAAATTATGCATCTGACAAAGGTCTAATATCCAGAATCTATAAGGAACTAAAACTAATCATCAACAACACAACATTAAAAAGTAGGCAAAAGACTTAAACAGATACTTCTCAAAACAAGATATACAAGCAGCCAACAAACATGTGAAAAAATGTTCCACATCACTGATCATCAGAGGAACATAAAATCACAGTGAGACACCATCTCATACCAGCCAGAATGGCGATTATTAAAAAGTCAAAAAACAGATGCTGGCAAGGCTGCAGAGAAAAGGGAACTCTGCTACACTGTTGGCGGGAATGGAAATTACTTCAGGCACTGTGGAAAGCAGTTCGGAGACTTCTCAAAGAACAGACAACAGAACTACCATTTGGCCCAGCAATACCATTACTGGGTAAATATCCAAAAGACAATAAATGGTTTTACCAAAAAGACACATGCATTTGTATGTTGTCACAGCACGATTCACAATAACAACAACATAGAATCAACCTAGTGTCTATCAGTGGTGGACTGGATTTAAAACAATGTGGTACATATACACCGTGGAATATAACACAGCCATAAAAAAGAATGGAATCATGTCCTTTGCAGCAACATGGATGCAGCTGGAGGCCATTATCCTAAACACATTAATGCAGAACAGAAAACCAAATACCACACGTTATCACTTTTAAGTGGGAGTTCAATGTTGGGCGCTACTCATGGACATAAAGATGGCAACAATAGATACTAGGGACTACTAGTGGAGGGTGAGAGGAACGGAAGACAAGGGTTGAAAAATTATTTATTGGGTACTCAGTACCTGGGTGATGGGATCCGTCGTACTCCAAACTTCGGCATTACACAATATACCATGTAAAAAACCTGCACATGTACTCCTTGAATCTAAAATAAAAGTTGAAATTCTTTTTTAAAAAGAGTCTGTCATCTTTTCTCTCTCTTGTTCTCTTTGCCATGTGACACACCAGGTTCCCTTCACCCTCTGCTATGAGTGTAAACTTTCTGAGGCCCTCACCAGAAGCAGGTACTGGCACCATGCTTCTTGTATAGCCTGCAGAACCATAAGCCAAATAAACCTATTTTCCTTATAAGTACACCCAGCCTCAGGTATTCCTTTATAGTAACACAAAACAGACTGATACGCATTGTACCAACATCCGTTTCCTACTATAGTTTGATACTGTACTATAACTATATAAGATGGAACCATTAGGGGAAACTGAATGAAAGATACAAGGATCACTCTGTAGTACCTTTGTAATGGCCTGTAATAAAACTCCAAGACTCTAGGTGGAAATAAATATTTTTTTCTCACCACATCATGTTCTCATTACCATGGTACAATTCATTTATACAATTTAAGAATCTATGACCGTAATCTCTATACAGATGCTCCTTGTCTTATGATAGGATTACAGCCCAATAAACTCATCTTAAGTGAAAAATATGAGCTGAAAATGCATTCAATATGCCTAACAAAGTGAACATCCTAACTCAGCCTCACCTACCTTACACATGCTCAGAACACTTATACTAATCTACAATTGGGAAAAAATCACTTAACACAGAGACTATTCTATAATAAAGTTATTATTTAAAAATTTGAATTGTCTGGGCACGGTGGCTCATACCTGTAATCCCAGCACTTCGGGAGGATAAGGCAGGTGAATTACATGAGGTCAGCAGTTCGAGACTAGTCTGGCCAACATGGTGAAACCTCTTCTGTACTAAAAATACAAAAATTAGCCAGTTGTGGTGTCCCATGCCTGTAGTCCCAGCTACTGGGGAGGCTGAGGCATGAAAATTGCTTGAACCCACAAGGGAGAGGTTGCGGTGAGCTGAGATCGTGCCACTGCACTCCAGCCTGGGTGACACAGCAAGACTCCATATCCAAAACAAAACAAAATAAAACAAAACAAAAACTTTGAATCAAAATACAAAGCATAATTTCTCAAAATGAATGCTATTTTCACAGCATTATAAATCAAAAAATCACAGGTCATACTATAAGTTGGGGACTATCTTATTCAAATTGCATTTGAAATTTAGTTTGGGTCTAAATTCTAAATTTGTGCCTCTCTTTAGATCTATTTTTTTCTTGCTGAAATAACATGCTTTTTTAAATGCTATTAAACTTGAATATCTGTACTCAATAATGCGGCATCTTAGAATTTTGCTTTTTTCCCTTTATTACTTGTCATATGGTTTTATTACTTCTTGAAAGATGGTTTTCCTTTGTTATTATTTTGGATTGGAGACTTAAAATGGTGGCAGCAGTTGTTCAGAATAACAACAACATTTTATGGAGAAGTTTCGAATCTTTATTCCATGAAGAAAAGTAATTCTGAAGTTTTAATGAAAAATCTATTAATTATTGCAATTATGTTGTTGTTTGAACCTGCACCACTGGAAAACAATGCATGCTATTCTTCCAAATCACATTTTAATGACTAACAAGTTGACATTTACCAAGATTTTATTGTATTCTAAAAGCATTTAATTTTAAACATGAACTCTATCAACCACGTATTTAATTGATAACTAAAGATATTCCCCAATGTAAAAACTATATTCTGTTTATAAATGAATGATTCTAAAACTTAAAACTCATTTTTTGTAGTAACAATGTTACTTACAATTGATTCACAGATTAATCCATAAAGTCAGATTTAAACCTAGAGGAAATTTAACTACTTGCAGTGCTAGAAATAATAGAAAACAATAATGTAATGTGACATACCTTTAAAATACATTTTTAAAATGTTTGAACCCCTGAAGTCTGTAAGAAGACATTTTCCCTGATATAATCGGGAAAAGAATTTTTTTAAACCATGTGTTTGCTTGCTTGTTTGTTTCACCTCACCTCTGGCATTTTAGAGAGACGCTGATTTATTTAGAAGCAAATGAGCAGGTTTAAAAAAATCCCAGGGAAATTTCCAAGACTTCTGGGCCCTTTCTAGGTCTTTGAGTAGATGATATTGATTCTTTACTACGATTTTCTTTTTACATATCTAAGCTTCTACGCTTGTTTTCCATAAAAATGTATTGTCACCAGTACTGTCATGGACCTATCAGCTATGATTAAAGTCTGGTGTCAAAATCTTTCACAAAGATGTATTCAAACAACAAAACAACATGTCCCTCATGTTCTCTCATCTTTGGTTCACTCTCTCAAATTTCTTCTGCTGTTACACTTTGTTAAATTCCGGCCTCAGGCTGACCTGTAACTTGAATGGGAGTCAGGGCTTCCACCCACATCCTGCCTTTATGCAAGGTCACGCTGCAAGATCGAAAGGTTGACTTGAATGGTTTCAATTTGATCTCTCTATGCCAATTATGAAATTATAGGCTCTCAACTTGAAATGCACCCTTCAATATATGCTCTGTGATAGATGATGGAATCCCTTTAAGCTTCTCCCCTTCGAAGTGAGTACAGCATTAAAAGGGTCGAGAGGGAGACTGCAGCAAAAAGGGGCTGTCCTGAAGTCCCTGACTGCAGTGTGTGAATGGATAGTACAGGTTCAAGAACATCTGTGAGCTCTCTATGAGGCACAGGCCCACAGCAGTGCCTCCGCAACCTTGCAGCTCAGGCTGGCATAAGCTTTCCATCGAAACCTGTGTCCCAGAAGCCTCAGGCCTGAATTCCCTCTTCAGCCCCTTCACCTCACCTGTCCTACCTGTGCCCCCAGGGGTTTCCTATTGAGCCTCTGCTTTCTCTGCAACCCACACTGCTCTGATCGCCTGCTTTCCGCCTGCCCTGTGGAGGTGGCTTTCTGCTAGCCCAGCTGCTGCAGAACAACTCCAGCTTGGACAAACCTGAGAACTTTTCTGCGGTCCTAGGATACAGAAGGAGACAAATGAAACAGAAAAAAATAAAGGGGCCTGTAAACCTGAAGAAGTTAATCCTAAAAGTGTTAATGCTCAGATATGCATGCAAATTCATTATTCCATTCCTTTTGCTCAAAAACAAATTGCTCCACCTAGGAATAGAAGACTAAAAGAGGGAGAGTTGCATGGGCTGAGATGAGAGGAAGAACTCGGCTACCCAGAAGACATTAAAATAACTCCTCCAGCAGCTGGTGGAAAGGTGGGGGAGTCCTCTGTTTAAGACAGAAAATGGAAAGGCCTCCACCCAGCATTGATGACTCCCTGGACTTTTGGGGACGTCCTTGAATGAACTGAAACATATATTTATTCGTAAATTTTGTTTTAATGTTCAGACTGCTTGTATATTTTGGAGGAAGGAAGCTGTTTGGTCAAATCTGTTGGCCTCATTTAGCATTATTTATGCTGTATAATGTTGATTATATATTCTAACCTCAGGGGAAGCCCAAGATGTTCTTTTTGTTGTACCTCATTTTAGTACCAGAGAAGAAAAAAGATCTCTTATGCATCTCAGAGGCAATACAAAATCCTAATCAGACAACTAATTGGTCAATGATTTTAAAATAAAAGTAATTCCAGCTCCATAAAGAAATTCCTAAATTGCAAATTATCTTAAAAAAAAGAATGATCTGCTTTAGGAAATCCTCAGTTCCCATTGCTAAAGGTGTTCAAGCAGAGAAGACAGATAATCTGGAGAATTATAGGAAGGATACAAACCACACAGGTCTTATCAGCCCACAGGTTCCATGATTCTGAAAGTCAGGGGAATTTAAAATAATCAAAACAAAGTTAATTGAGTTCTATTTTAGTCTATAATTCCAACTTCATGTTTCTGTGGCACAGACATGGGCTCATTTCTTTCTGATGAAGGTAGCCCTAATTGCTCCAAAGTTGCACACAGAGTGTATGTTCAGAAATTATTAGGTGATTTGAGAAAGGCAGCACAACAAAATGATAAACCATCAAGGAATAATGGCCCCTATGTTATGCCATTGACTTCTGAACCTGTGTCATTAATATATTTTTCAGAGTTTATTGATAACTCACCCACCAAACTGTTTTACAAAGTATAGCAACTGCATACCCTTAGAACTTCCAATTGCTGGGAGAGAAGATGTGGTCACAGATTCAGAAGTGACTATTCAATCCACTTCCTTTTGTATCACTTATCCCTCTGTTGCTATGCAACTGAAGCTTCCTGTTCTCCCAGTTCTTAGGCTGACATTTTATCTTTTGGTCTGTTCAAGTGTAGCAAGTTTGTATTCAATTCTGCATGAAATTTAAAACATGTCACCACTCTCCTAGAGACATCTTCTACTGCTTTTATAAATGTGTCCATCTACTGTCCTGAATAGGAGAGCACTAGTTCATCCCTGAATAGATGGTATTAATTCACTAAACCCTAAAGATTTTTGACCTTTTTAAAAACAGATTCCCACTGTACAAGATATTTTACAAGTGACAAGGACTTCTGTGCATTGAGATGAAATCAGTACCATTTAAATTGAGCATATTTTCTAGGGAGATTGTGGACTACACGGCATTCAAACAATGTATCATGTTAAATCAGAGACATTTTGAATAATTTCAGTTGTGTTTTTTCTGAAAGGAAGTATAAAAAATGTTATGCCATAAATTGAATCTAAAATCAGCAAAGGGATTAGTAACTTAAGCTGATATTGATATAGTTTAGCTGTGAAGCTGAATAACACTCTTGAGTATGAAGGAAGAATATGCTTAAGCTAGAAAGTAATTAGACAATGAATTATCCAAATTGCTAGGTGGAAATAAGGCCTAAAAGTACATGTGATTTAAAGTCAAGAGACTTGAGTTCTATTTCTACTTCTGCCACCTGGTGAAATTTACCTTCCCTACAAATTTTTTCAAAAATAAAATGAGTGGTTTGAATTAGAAAAATCTCTGAACTCTTCTCTGGATTCCACAATCTATGATTAAGCAGGTCAACACTGCAATAAGTAATAATCTGTGGTACAAACAGATCAAGCAAAGGTTCTACATGTAGTCATTGAAGAAATATTTATTAAGCAAGTATTATATTAAAAAAATTGTAATAGATATTTGAAAAGCAAAGTCTATAGAAGAAAATTTCAGTTTGGCATATATGTACAACATCGCAATAGAGGCATCCTGAAGACCCGTGAAGATGCAGGTACAGAGTTTAGGAGGAAAGTTGGAGCTGGAGCTATGGATTTTTGAGGGGCCAGCATGCACTTCTCTTTAGCCTCCTTTCTTTTTCAATCCAAATACTTTAAAATGTGTGAAAAGCCACTGCTAGAGGTGAGCATCAAAGGTCACATTTAGTGAAGTAACTCATAAACCTACGGTCTCGTCTTAAGAGCCACTGAGTCTGGATAGCATACACTGTTGCCACTGACTCTTAATTTTCTAATATCAGTGACATTTATTCTACTCTGTCCTGTATTCTCCATGGCTATCAGTCTTATGTCTCTCATTTAAAATGTCTTGCAGTTATTAAAATGATTTCTCAAGAGTATATGCATTTCAGAAAAGAATAATTGTTTTAGTAACCTGAAGGGATTAACTGACAACGGTGGATTGTCAAGCATCAGTGATAAATCCTTGGAGAGATGTTTCTGTCAGGAGGGTATTACCAAGCCTTAAAATTATATCACCCTGGTGAACATCAACTGTGTCAATGAAAACCATCCTTGATTTGGCATTTGCAAGCTGTAGAAAGTAATTCTGCTCTTGAAATTAACCTGTGCTCTCCTTATATTTCTTAATACTTTTAATTGACACATCATAGTTTTATACATTCATGGGGTACAATGTAATGTTTTAATATACGTATACAACGTGGAATAAATAAATCAAGCTAATTAACATATCCAGCACCTCCCTTATAAGTTTTTCTGTGGTGAGAAATTTGAAATTTACTCTTATTTTGAAATGTATACTACATTATTATGGACTATAGTCACCCTGCTCTGCAATCGATCTCAAAACTTATTCCTCCTCTTTGCAACTTTGAACACTTTGATCAACAACTTTCCATTCCTTCTCTTCCCCACCCCACCCCAGCCTCTGGTAACCATAATACTACTCTCAACTTCTATGAGTTGAAGTTGCAGTATTTGTCTGAAATAACAAAGTTTCATTCTTTTTTAAGGCTGAATTATATATACACATTTGTATATATATTTACACACATACATATATGTATGTATTATTCCACATTTTCTTATTCATTCTTCTGCTGATGGACACTTACATTTATTTCATATCTTGGCTATTGGGAATAATTTGCTGCCATGAATGTGGGAGTACAGATATCCCCTCAACATATTGATTGCAGTTTCTTTGGATGTATATCCAGAAGTGGGACCGCTAGATCATATGGTAGTTCTATTTTTAGTTTTTTAAGGGAAACTCCATACCATTTTCCATAATGGCGGTATTATTTACATTTTCACCAACAGTGTACAAGAGAGGGTTTCCTTTTCTTCACATCCTTGCTAGCATTTATCTTTCATGTTTTCAACAGTAGCTATTCTAACAGGTAATATTTCATTGTGGTTTTGATTGGCATTTACCTAAAGATTAATGATGCTGAGCATTTTTTCATGAAGCTTTTGGGCACTCGTATGCATTATTTTGAGAAATATTTATGGGTTCCTTTCCATTTTTATTCAGATTTTTTTTTTTGCTGTTGAATTGAGCTCCTTGTAAACTTTAAATATTAATACCTTATCAGATGTATAATTTGCAAATATTTTCTTCCATTCTGTAGATTGTTTTTTTCATTCTGTTAATTGTTTCCTGAGCTGTGCAGAATCTTTTTAGTTTGACATTGTCTCACTTGTCTATTTTTGTTTTGTTTTTGTTGCCTATGTTTTCTGGGTCATATGCAAAAAATCATTGCCAGACGAAACTAATATTGTGGAGCTTTTATACTCTATGTTTTCTTCTAGTAGTCCTATAGTTTCAGTTCTTATATTTAAGTCTATAATCAATTTTGAGTTAATTTTTGTACGTGGTGTGAGATAAGGATCTAATTTTGTTCTTCTGCATGTAGATAACCAGTTTTCACCATACCATTTATTGAAGACTATCCTTTCCCCATCGTGGGTTCTTGACACCATTGTCAAAAATGAATTGATCATAAATGTGCAAGTTTATTTCTGGCTTTCTATTCTGTTCCATTGATCTAGGTGTCTGTCTTTATGTCAATACCATGCTGTTTTGATAACTATGGCTTGCAGTATATTTTGAAGTCAGGTAGTATGATGCCTCAAGCTTTGTTCTTCGGGATCAAAATTATTTTGGCTCTTCAGGGTCTTTTGTGGTCCCATACAAATTTTAGAATTTTTTCCTATTTCTGTTAAAAAATGACATGGGAATTTTGATGAGATTTCGTTGAATCTGCAGGTTTCTCTGACTATCATAGACATTTTAACAGTATTTACACTTACAATCCATGAACATGGAATATCTTTCCATTTATTTGTGTTTTCTTCAATTTCTTTCATCAGTGTTTTATAGTTTTTAATATACAGGTCTTTCACCTCCTTGGTTAAATTTATGCTTAAGTTTTTTTCTTTTTTGCTATTGCAAATGGGATTTTTTCTTAATTTTTTTGGATAGTTTATTACCAGTGTATAGAAACACTACTGATTTTTGTATGTTGATTTTGTATCTGCAACTTTACTGAATTCATTTATCAGTTCTAACTTTTTTTATGGAGTTTTTGGAATTTTTTATATATAAGGTCATATTGTTAACAAATAGAGAAAATGTCCCTTATTTCTTACTTCTACTTTTAATACAGATGTACACAGCCAAATCACATGTTTTCACTAAATTGCTCAAGAATTTCTAATCTTCCCCTTTCTTGAGGTTTTATGTACACATATAATTTTAAGATTATCATACTTAATGATACCACAACCAGATTTTTGTGATTAATATACTCTTCATATTCAAATCAATGTCATATATCATACGATAGACTATATTTCCCCATCTCTCTTATTAATGAGTCTCTCTCCCACTTGCTGTCTCTAAGCAGTCAAATATTATTGATAGAGTTTATCAGATACATGAAAGTAAGGAATTAACTGACTCATTTATTAATTAAACATATATAAGTTGATGTCTTAATAGGTAGCAGGTAGAGTTTAACTTTTTAAGAGTATAAAAGTGAATACACCAAAACACAGTGCTAAAGCTTTCAAGTGGAGAAGAAAAAGTAAACAAATAATTCCATTATTGTTTATAATATAAAAATTATAATGAAAAGTTAAAATGCAACCCAAGAACTGTGAATAGGAGATAAGTGAAATAATCATATATCCACTTTATCATGGAATTCTATGCCATACATAAAATTGATATATACTTATTAGCTTGGACTTTTTCTATGATACATATTTTGGAAATGAATCACATTATTAAGGAGGTATTTTTAAATAGTCAAATGGATTAAAAAATACATTGCTTTCATTCAAAAATATATAAATGGATACAGCTAACACAGGTTTTAATAATAATGTTTTGGATTATGGAATAAGTTTTTTCTTCTCCATAATTGGAACTTTTTGCTACCCCACATGTCTACTTGACTATTACAACTAAGATATGAGAATGATGTGAGGAAAGGGAAGGACGTGTTGGGTAGGAAAGAAAAGGGAAGGACATTTGTGCTGGATGCATTAAATCACAGCACAAAGTTTTAGTTAGAATCTTTTAATTTCAGAGAAAGGCAATAGTCTAGAACCCCAGACTTGATGGAAAGAAAAGATTTTTCTGGGTTTTTACATGCAAATAATGTATTTTAAAATATTTCTGGGTTTTTATATACGAAGAATCATAGCTGAGGGAATTAACCATAGACCAAATAATAGCTAAGAATCCATGATATAATGTAAGTTTTATTCCACAGGATGAAAAAAATAAGGCCTTTCCAATCCCTGAATCTGAGGCATGGAAAATGACTTAAGAGCCAAGAGAGAACAGAATGATAGATTAAGAGGTCAGAGCAATCAGGAAAGAAGGGCTTTGCTTTTCCCATGTCAGGATAAAACTTTTAAAAAGAGACAAACATAAGGTACAAACACCCAACTAAGGAGACACTGAGATTATGCTATTTCTCTACATAGGAGGATACAAGATCATCCACTATGAAGACTATTTAGGAAACTTTTGAAGAGAGTATTAACGTTTAAAATAGTTTACTTGTAAATTCAGAGGAGATGACCAGAAACCGATATAAACTTTTTCATTGAAAGTCCAGCTAAGATTGGAGGATATAAATTTTGATTGGCATGGAACTATAACAGCTTAAGTAATAGGGGAGGTGATATAGCTATAAGAATGGGAATTAAAAACATTTACAGTACTAGTTACAGTGTGATGGAAACTGTGGAATCCAATAGACTATGGCACCTATAAATAGAAAAGAACATAAAATAAGGAGGTGGATACAATCACTGTGTCTACTTCAAGGGAGTGGTGTTCTTATTTAAGATCAAAGATTAGGCTGAGTAGAAGTAAAGAAATTAGAGAACTGGAAGGATAATTAGTAATTAGTAATAGCCAGAGAGGAGCTTATCTAAGATTTTATTTTTACGATTTTGCATGATACAGCAGTAAATTAATGAGCTCTATTGACTCAATTGTTTTCTTTCACAATATAATCTGAAGATGGCCTGCACCACACAGATCAGCAAGCTTTCTCTGCAAAGGGCTATATAGCAAATACTAACATTTTAGGCATTGCAAGCCATACAGTACATTGCAAACATGAAAATACAAAAAAAAAGCCACAGACAAATCTTAAACAAGTAGACATGGTTGTTTTCCAGTGAAATTTCACTTGCAAAAGCAGGTGGTGGGCCACATTTGGTCCATGGACTGAAATTTGTTGACCCCTTCTCTGGACAGTCTACAGAATGATGTGATAACATCGTATCAATAGGTATTAATGAGCAAGAGATTATGATCACCCTGGATGTCCTGGTAAGACACACACTCTACCAGAAGGTGGGAAGTAAAGCCTATTAGGTTTATTTGAAGGGCCATCCCAGGTCCTGAGCAAAAAAGGAATTGACAGAGGCCTCTATATCATCCACACCACAGTTCAACTTCTTGCTCTGCCTGGCCCTGATTCCTTCACTGTATTACACCTCTTCTCAAGACCAGTTCCCAATAAGCCTCTCACACACAAACCTCTAGCTCAGAGTCTGGAGAATGCTTATTATAGAAATTTTGAAAAATCCAAGGGAGATTCTATAAGGTAATCAAAAGCACCTGTAATTCTATTACTTACCTATAATCACTGTTAATAGTTTCATAATTTATTTCAGTACAATGAGAATTCTTAATTACAAATATTGAAGAATAACTAGATCAAGACTAACTCAACCAATCTTCATTACAATTAAAATGTTCAGTGACTTCTGATAGTTGCCAAATAAAATTTTCAAATATCCATACAGCCCCTCTTAAAACTGCATAAGAAAATCTCATCTAATTTTATATGTAAATCATTTTATATATTTTAATCTGGCCAAACAAATTAGAAAATGCATTTTAATGATGCATATAAAGATTTCTTTGAAGATTCTGACTTGAAGAATATTGCATGAAATAAATAGAAGAAATTGGCACTATAAGTGAAAAGTAATAATTCAAGAGTCATAATCAAAGAAAAGACCTATATTTGATTAAAATGTAAGAAGCAAGTTTCTGTAAAACTGTAGGAGTAAATAGACATCCAAATATCTAGAAACAGAAGATAGATATTAATTGTATTATGAAAAAATATATACTGTTACAAAAATGTGTTATAGATCTCATTTTAGTGATTTCTAGTTTGGTTTGCTAACTAAGAATATTTTACAAGAATGTGTTTTGTTTCTTGAATTTATATCAATTCATAGTTCTGCATCCTCCCGCTAGCTGCCATTATTTTGTGCATTACACAGATTAATTTTGCATATATCAATTTCACTCTGTAGAAACTATCATCTCAATATGCTGTTTTCTTATAGTCCATGAAGCCCTAAGGACTGCTTAACCGTCAATGACGATTTTTAAAAATGTCATGTGTAAGTATATCTTTAATCTAATATTTGATTTTGTAAACTAAATGATTTACATTTGAAAAGAGTGAATTTTCATACTTTGGCTAACATTGAATAAAGAAGGTCATTCCAGGCCCTCAGGAATATTACAGAAGTTTCACTCACAGCTTTTCTTCATGGAGATCAAAGTACTTAGCTGTCGATAGATTACTAAAGACATTTTATGAAAATAGGTAAAATACAACTCAATATAAATTGAGACTTTTGGGCAATTGAGGAGACTTTTAGTCCCCCTCGGATCATGAAAAGTTTTATGAGTGACTTAGGTG
Organism: Homo sapiens; assembly: GCF_000001405.40. NCBI lineage: Eukaryota > Metazoa > Chordata > Mammalia > Primates > Hominidae > Homo > Homo sapiens. Next base: position 145,022,341 of record NC_000007.14, on the reverse strand, counting down.
TAGGAACAGCTCTCTCTGGTAAAAATAACTGACACACTTTGGCATTAAACCTCATAAAAGGAAATGAAAAACTGTTTTATAATGTCCTCAATGAAGTTTATGAGAATTGGTCCTATTGCTCATCTATACTGCTTTATCTCTGTAGTTAGTTTGAAAGCCTTGACCTGAAATTAAGAATGTCTAGGCAATTTTGTGACAACGTACCCAGGCTCTGCTCTGCTGACAATCTTGGCATATCAGACAATCTTATAAACATTGCACCATGTGTTACTGGTTTTGATAATTTTAAAATTTTACTTTATAATTCTCAGAAAATATCTAACAAATTTAAATATCATTTCTTTAAATCTCTCCCATTCCTGATAACCTTTTAAACTGTAGGCCTTAAGGAAGACTTAAGGACTTAACATATTACTTAGATCAAGTACGGTTGCATACAGTGAGAACCTCAAGGTAAGAGCAGCCTAAATAATACATATTCTCTTAAAAGACATCCAGAGAGATGAATCTCAGAACTGTTATGATCCCCCACTAATAAAGAGTCTAGGATCCTTGAAGCTTTCTGTTATATCATTTTAGCAAGTGGTTTTTATTTGTAAGATTACCTCACAGCATACGATCTTTATTGAAATCCCAGCAATTGCATAAACATTTCTGTTACCTGGAAAGAGAAGGAAGAGAAAACAAAAGAAATGCTCCCCTCAGATGAGCCAATTCTCTTCAGGTAATGCTAAAGAAACACCGCATGTTCTCACTCACAGGTGGGAATTGAACAATGAGAACACTTGGACACAGGAAGGGGAACATCACACACTGGGGTCTGTCGTGGGGTGGGGGAAGGGAAAGCATTAGGAGATATACCTAATGTAAATGACGAGTTAATGGGTGCGGCACACCAACACGGCACATGTATACATATGTAACAAACCTGCACGTTGTGCACATGTACCCTAGAACTTAAAGTATAATAAAAAGTATATATATAAATAAAAAAATCCATCCAAAAAAAAAAAAAGAAGTCCCTCTTAACAATTCTGCACAGTTACGAGGGGCAACCGTGCTGCAAGTAGAGTTAAACAATGTGGTCATTTAGACGGCACATTACCATCCAGCATAACATTGGGATTATTTTATAGTGGAAAAGGGGGTGACACATATTGGGGAACAAATATAGTCTCTGCCTCTGGTAGTTATCAGTAAAGAACTGTTAATGATCTCATCCCAGTGGGACTCCCAGCCCAGCTATTCAGCTTAGTCTCTCTCTTTCATGTAATGCTTGACCATCAAAACTTGTGCCTTGGAGACAGGAGCCAAGGGACCACTTGTGATCACTTTCCATGAATGCTTCCTCAAGAAATTGCTGAAAATACAACTAGGAAGACAATACACATATGTCCCAATAATAATTGCCATTATTTACTGATAGCTTCCTATTGACTCATAAATTGTATATGCTACTTTATGAAATACAATAAAACCCAGACATTACCATCCCCGTTTTACAGAAAAAGAAACTAAAATTTAGAGGGATTAAATAACTAAAGTTGGGCTTTAAACTTTTTTTTTATTTTTATAGATTTAGGAGGTACAAATACAGACTCCGTAACATGCATATGTTGCATAGTGGTAGAGCTTGGGCATTTAGTGTATCCATCACCTGAACAGTGAACATTGTGCCCAACAAGTAATTTTTTTATCTCTCCTACTGTCCCGTCTTTTGGAGTCTCCAATGTCTATTACTCCACTCTGCATGTCCATGTATACCCTGTGTTTAGCTCCAACATATAAGAACAGCTGGTATTTGAATCTCTGTTTCTGAGTTATTTCACTTAATGCCCTCCAGTTCCAACCATGTTGCTGCAAAAGACATGATTTTATTCTTTTTTATGTTCAAGTAAGATATATAGATATTACTTGAGATATATATATATTACCTGAGATAGATAGATATAGATATATATATCAAAAAGTAGAAGCTCTTTTTTTAAATTTACATTTTTCTGCTACAATGGAGGTTTAAAAGCATGTGCTGATTTACTGGCATTTGGGTTTCCTTCTTACTTGAGTTTCCTGTTTATATATATATATATTTATATATATATTTATATATATATATTTATATATATATTTATATATATATATATATATATATATTTATATATATATATTTATATATATATATTTATATATATATATATATATATATATTTATATATATATTTATATATATATATTTATATATATATTTATATATATATTTATATATATATATATATATATATATGTTATATTATATATGTTTATATATATATTTATATATATATGTTTATATATATATTTATATATATATGTTTATATATATATTTGAATATATATATGTTTATATATATATATATATATATATATATATATATATATATTTATATATATATGTTTATATATATATTTATATATATATGTTTATATATATATTTATATATATATGTTTATATATATATTTATATATATATGTTTATATAGATATTTATATATATATATATATATATATTTATATATATTTATATATATATATATATTTATATATATATTTATATATATATTTATATTTATATATATATTTTTATATATATATTTATATATATATTTATATTTATATATATATTTTTATACATATATTTATATATATATTTATATATATATATTTATATATATTTATAAATATATTTATATATATATTTATAAATATATTTATATATATATATTTATATATATATTTATATATATATTTTTATATATATATATATATATATATATATATATATATATATGACTTTTTTTTTTTTTTTTGAGATGGAGTCTCACTCTGTCACCCAGGCTGGAGTGCAGTGGCGTGATCTCAGCTCACTGCAACCTCCGTCTCCCAGATTCAAGCAATTCTCCTGCCTTAGCCTCCCGTGTGGCTGGGATTACAGGCAACCACCACGCCTGGCTAATTTTTGTATTTTTAGTAAAAACGGGGTTTCACCATGTTGGCTAGGCTGGTCTTGAACTCCTGACCTCGTGATCCGCCCACCTCGGCCTCCACCACATTTTCTTTATCCAATCATCTGTGGATAGACTAAGTTTTGCTTTTAACCCCAAGACTACATTGCCATTGCTGGAAACAACCGTTATGTGGCTTGTTTAGGATTGGGAGCCACTCTGAGGCTGAAAGGTACACACGAGTTTGTGAGTTAGGAAACATTAAAGAGTACCTGTTAGTTGGGAGATTTCTCCTTGGAATTTGGGCATATGGGGAAGCATCAAAGAGTCACCACTTTCCAGAGCAGTGTTTTCAGCAGCATGCTCTTCATCAGGATGTTAAATGTTACTTGATCCTTTTATGTGCTATCGTGAAATAAGATTGAGAAAGGTAGAATTTTCCCTTAGTATTGGACCTTTCTTTCTATTTGGCAAAAGTATTTTTCCTTTCTTAATCCTATCCTGTCTTTTCCTGGGCCCCATCTCCAACTATGTTTGGTTTTCTTTTTATCTTTTGTTTTAACAATAAGATCATATGATACTCATTTCTCTGTTACTTACTTCTTCCATCCTTAAACAGGTTATGGGTATCCCTTCAAGTCAATAAATATAGATCAAACTCATTTTATGATAGCCACATAATATCCCATTGAATTACCAATGACATTCAAAATACTTAATGGTGGTTATGGACTGGACATTGTTTAATTAATCTTCTACTCTGAAAAAGAAAAAACTGATTTATTTCAGTTGATTCTCAGATCTGCAGAGAATAATGTCTCTGTTTTCTAACCATTCCTGCATGAATGGATGTTAATGGTTTTTCAAGGTTTTTTTTCACCAAGAAATAATACATTAAATTTTGTAAAGTATAATCTTTATATATTAGTGTTTTGATCTATATAAGAAAGATTCCCAGAATTGGGATTGCTGGATAAAAGGCTATATATATTTTTAGTTACTAATTTTCATTATTACCTGAGACAACTTCCAACATACGCATGCCCTTTGCCTTTTTGACAGCATTGAGCTTTATTGCTTTTTATTTTTTGATAATGTGATGAGCAAAAAGTAGAAGCTCATTTTTTTTAATTTACATTTTTCTGCTACAATGGAGGTTGAATATCATCTACTGATTTACTGGCATTTGGGTTTCCTTCTTACCTGAGTTTCCTGTTTGTATACTTATACTTTGCCTCTTGTCTGTTGACTGTTCTCTTTTTCTTATCAATGCTTTTGGTAAACTCTATATATTAACGCTTTATCTGACAGAAATACTGTAATTATTTCCCTGAGACTATTGCTTTTAGCTTAATTTTGCTTATATATTTTTTCTGGGCTTATATACCTTTTAATCTTTAGGGAGTTTTTAAGGTTCATGGGTTTGTTTTCTTGCTTAAACAAATATTCTTTAAGATATTTAAAAATGTTTTTCTATGTTTTCTTCCAAACTTCTTATTTTTTAATATTTAAACTACTATCTATGTTACATTTCAATTTCTACATAATGTGAGGCAGGACAATATGCTCGTATTTTTTTCAATTGAACAGCCATTTTTGCTAGCACCGCTTATTAGAGAAACCATCTGCTTCAATAAATGAACTGAAATGCAACAGTTGTCACATATCACATTTCTGCATATAGTAGATATATTTCTGGTTCTCTTCTACTAATCTGTTTACCTATTCCTTTGCTATTATCTTTCTTTTATTCTAGTGACTTTGTAATCAGCTTTAGTATCTGACAAGCCAAGAACCCTAACACTATTTGATTGTTTCATAATTTGGGAAGCCATTTTCTAATATTTATCCATTTTAGTTTTAAACATGATATTCTATTTTTTAAAAAAAGTGAAGTAGCACTTTGTTAAATGTTTATATTTATTTGAAAATAGAAAATAAATGTTCTGCATCCTGAAACATGGTATGACTTGAAACTTTATTTAGATCTTTTTCCCTTAATACAATGTATAGATTTCTCTTTGGAGATACTGATCAGTCTTTTAAAATTTATTCCAAAGTATTTTATAGTTTTGTCAGCATTTTATTGTTTTTCATTTTCAATTCAAACAAACTGTTTTCAGTATAGATAAGACGTATGAGTTTTGTAAGGTTATTCTTTATCCAGCTAGCTTATCATCTTCTCTTATTAATCTTAGTAGATTTTTACTAGGGTATATATCCATAAGTCAAAGATAAAACAACCAAAGAAAAAATATTTGTAACAATATGACAGATAAAAGATATATTTCTTTAACATACAGAAAACTCTTACAAACCAATAAGAAAAAACAAAAATGTAATCGGAAATCCTATAAAGAGCATAAAAATGTAACCACAAAAGGCAAACACAAAGAAAAACAGAAGTAGCTTATAAACATTTCAAACAATACTAAAACTCATGACATTAAAGAAACGCAAATTAAAACTAGAATCAGATTAACAAAAATTACCGCTAGATTAGCAAACATTTTAGTTGGATATCATATAGCTTTTAAATGGCAATAAGACTGAAGTATTCTCATCAGCACTCTTAACGGTAAATTCAATTTAAATTACATTTATGTTCAATAGGTACTACCTATTTGGAGAGAAATTTACCAATATTTATAAAAATGTTAAATTCATGTACCTGCCAATAATAAATATACATTATAAATTTCCAAAACAGAATCTTTTGCATAAAGAATGATTAACTAGAAATCTCTGATGTATCTAAGAACTATCAATAAATCAGCTTAGAGCATAAACATTCCTATAGAGCAGGGGCAAAACACAGATTGAAAACAAAGACAAGAATGAGATTGTGTAATGGAAGAAGAGCAGTATATTCCTTTTTCAGTTCCAAAATGTCTGGGAGGACCCGTAGTGCAGTGCATTATCAGAACAAATACATTTCTACTAGATAGCCACTGAAGCACACAAAGTAACAAGAATGCACAGATATTTCCTTCACTCCTTACAAATGCACCCTTTATGCCTAAAAAATAGCTACTTCACTCTGAATACTCTCCTCGCTTTCTTTCATGCCCCTTGAGCCTCCTCTACTGGTCGTCCTTGACCCTAGGGCTCCAGGCTCTAACTTGAAGGAGTTACATAAGAGGCTCTGCTGCTGTTCAATGGAAATTCAGTGAATCACTAGATGGGATGGGATAGATACTTAAGAGTAGAGCCATTGTAAAATATAAAACCTTTCTCTCTTGGCTGCCTTTCACAGCATAAGTCAGCTGCATTATTCTATTAAAAAGTTTGCTCACGCCTGTAATCCCAGCACTTTGGGAGGCCGAGGCGAGCGCATCACGAGGTCAGGAGATAGAGACCACGGTGAAACCCCGTCTGTACTAAAAATAAAAAAAATTAGCCGGGTGTGGTGGCGAACATCTGTAGTCCCACCTACTCGGGAGGCTGAGGCAGGAGAATGGAGTGAACCCGGGAGGCGGAGCTTGCAGTGAGCCGAGATCGCGCCACTGCACTCCAGCCTGGGTGACAGATCCAGACTCTGTCTCAAAAAAAAAAAAAAAATTTGCATACTTATTCCAAAGGTGTACTCCTTGCATAAGGAAGGAATGAATACAGGGTCTGAAAGGAGAAGCGAAACTAAAGCTTATCTTGCCACATCATACTCTGTGGAATGGAGTAAAATATATTAGAGACCAGGATCTTACTGTTATTTGGCTGCTTTCATATATTTCAGCTTCTTCTGCTCTTAAAAAAAAAAAAAAAAAATTCACCTGGGCCCTGGAACGTTCAGTCAGATTCTTCCTATTAGTAACTGAGCCAGGTGTCGACCATGGAAAAGCTGGGAATAAAGGTAATTCTGGAATGCTATTCTCATGGCTGGTAGAGCAATGACTTGGCTGCTCTGGGAGCTGGATTACTGCAGACTGCTGAGGAGTTGCCATGATTCCTTCCCACCTGGGAATAGCACTTCAATAGCTGGTAAAGATGCAAAGTCTGGCCAGGACACAGCAGTGGACCAAGTTCACCAAAGCTGACCTCCAAGGAAAAACTCCAAGTTCCAACAATTAAGATAATAGTAGAGTAAACTGAAAAGCTATTTCATTTTTTAAATGGGTGCTTTTATACAGATACTGAAGGAGAACAAGATATTTCAAAGCTTGAAGATTAAGTCCGCAGAGACCATGAATGATGGAAAACCTGTGTGGTTTTTTTTTCACCTCTGTAGATATAAAAATGCATGTACCCTTCAACTCACTAGAGTCATTTGACCTATTTCTGTACATTGTGCTTGACTAGAACCCAACATTCAGTTTCAGGGCCAGCACTTCCATGTAATTAATGAACCAAGCTTTTTTCTCTGAAAACATTTATTTCAATGCCCTGTCTACACATGCCAGGAACATAACAATTCAGGTTAAGGATACCAAGGATTATCAGATGGAAGAGTTCAGAGTCACCATGTCACCACATCAAGCCTTATGGGTCTTTGCTTTTTTATCAAACTGTCTTTAGAATTCTCTTCCCAACTTCCTAGTCTGTTCAACTGATAAACCCAGCTCATCATTCAAAATTCAGCTAACAATGAAGTCCTTCCTGTTCCCCAGTCCTCACCCACAATAAACTGACAACAGTATCCTTTTTGCTGCCTTCTGTATCCAGGACATTCTCTTATTATGGTATGTATTATTTGAGACTTTTATTTCAGTGGCAACAATTCTGCCAAATGTTAAGGGGTAATTATAGAAATAGAAAATGAATGTAATCACCCTCAGAAAAAAAGACTGGATATGAAAGAATATATTGGATTTTCTTTCTCAGTCGCTCATCTTGGCTTCTTATTCATTTCTGTTTGATTTTCTATCTTTGCAAACCAGTTTTTTCATTTTCTCCAGCCACATACTGTCATATGACTGCCATATAGCTCTTGTGTTTACTTATATGGTCTAGCAATATGCAAGGATTCATTAGCATTCGGAGCTCAACTCATACTGATAGAGAATGGTTGAACCTGCTAGAATTAGTGGGCCACAGGATGAACCAGTAGTAGCTAACAGAGAAGACGCACAGCATGAGGGCCCAAACCCTTTAGATACAGAAAGTCGTCAGTAACACAGGCAACAACTTAAGCACCCCAAAATTGTTTACTACAATCTGTAATATCATCTTGAACTTATTTACCTAACTAACCCACATAGAAGGGAAATTCCCTGAGAGAAGGTACCATACCAGATCGTTACCTTTTCACTATATAATGCTCAAGATGTGCCACGTAAGGGCCCAATGTTGTTTATCTCTTTTGAATGAAATGTTCATCAATGTGCAGATGGACTGTCATTTTATCAAAGTTTAAGAAACTTAGGTCCAAATTATAACCTTATTTGGAATATTTGTAGGAGATGAGGCAAAATTATATACAGCAGTGTTCATATGAAAGCATTTTTGTCCATGTTTTAAGCTTTTAAATAGTACAGCAAAGTGATTTTTAAAATAGGCTTTGCATTCAAGCAAACTAGAATTTAAATAGGGACTCTGACACTTTGTATGATGTGAGCATAGTTGCTTAAATACTAAACCTCAATTTCGTCTATAAAATACAAATGATAATACACCATAGGTTTATTTTAATATGAAAATTGGTGTATTAGAGTGTTTGACAAGTAGGTAAAAAATTCATAGTCAACAAAAGCACCTTTTCTAAATTCCATCATCATTTCTTCATCTCTTTTTATCCTTACATAGCTCTAAAAATTAACTTTTCTAACAATGACTATCATTTAGGCGAATTCCTGCTGACATTTAGGGAATTGTGTTAATCTAATCAAGAAACTGTTAAAATCTTAGTGTAAAATGGGTTGCTTCTGTAAAGATTTTCTTGGGACTAATTTTTAGACATGGATGTTTTTAATGATCTTACTGCAAACAAAAACCCCTTGAATTTTCTTGCTTTTACTTATTCCCACTTAATAAATCTATCACCAATTAAAATAAATTGCCATTTGTAAATATTTTCCTACTTCTCTCCGTTGATCATTCAAGCTGTATCTCCTTTAATTCATGTCATTAAAATAAAAAACCGCTTCTTTCAAAATTATTTTTCTAAATGCTACAGAATTGTATTCTTGCCTTTGAAAAATGGAACTGAGAAAGGAGTTTACTCTAAATTCCAGAAAAATTCAACATGAAAATAAGAATTCTAAATTGCTAGAAGATAAATTTAATATTTATCTAATCTTTAAAATAACTTTCTTAGCTTTGAAAAAAATTATTGAAAGAAATAATATAAAAATGTATAACACTTAGACATAAAGATAAAATCATTTATTGAGAAAATTTCTTTCTAGGTAATACATCACACAGCTATTTAGTGCATAATAAATTAAAATATAAGCAAAAAACATTTAAATCCCAAAAGTTGATTTGATAGAAAAATCTTAAAGCAATAATTACTGAAAGAAAACATAACATCAGTGAGTCTATGTATAAAAATATATATATTTGAACTTATTTCTCCTGAAATTTTTTATCCTTTGATCAACATCAGCCAAATCACCCCAGCCCCAAGTAACCAACCACCTTCTACTCTCTAGTTCTATGACATCAGCTTTTTTAGTTCACATATGAGTGAGATCATGCAGTATTTGTCTTTCTATTGTACAACATGCAAACTATAGTTAATAACAATATAATGTATTCTAGAAAAATTCTAGGAGAGTTAAGTTTTCTCACCACAAAAATAACTATTAGTGGTAATACATATGATAATTAGCTGGATTTAGTCATTCCACAATGTATATATACATTATAGCATTATGTTGAACACAGTAAGTACATATAATTTTATCTGTCAATTTAAGTAAAATAAAATTATAAATATATATTTAAAACAAAACTCACATAAAAAAGTTAGGAGTGAAAATGGCATAAAAATTTAGAAAGTAATCTACAACGTGTTATTAAAATGGCTGTAACTTCTCATCAATGTCTTTGTCAATTGGGACTGCTATAACAAAAATGACATAAACTGGGTGGTTTAAACTACAGAAATTTATTTCTCACATTTCTGGAGACTGGAAAGTCCAAAGTGAAGGTGGCAGCCATTGTGGTTTCTGGTGAGGGTCCTCTTCCTGGTTATGTTTTCACACAGCAGAGAGAAAGCAAGGGAGGAGGGGAGGGCAGGCAGGCAAAGTCTCTTGTGTCTCTTAGAAGGTCACTAATTCCATCATGAGGGCTTTATTCTCATGACCACTTCCCAAAGGCCCTATCTCCAAATATCATCAAACTGGGAATTAGTGTTTCAACATATAAATTTTGGGGAGAAACAAACATTCAATCAATAGCCATCTAATATTTACATTTATTGATATCCTAAATATACCATCCAAAAGTAAAAACAAGCCACATGCATAGAAACATTTAATGATACTACAATATGTGGATAATATGCAGTAATAGTATTGTATACTATTATATGCAGTAGTGTATAATATAAAGAGCCAGACTATCTAACAATAGATTTTTCCTTAATAAAAATCATAAAACATGAAGCTATTAAAGTTACAAGTATTAAAAACTACTTAGCAAAGTGAAAAATGTATGTAACTGGAAAAAAAAAAGATACAACAAGTTATACAGTATGATTATGCCTATATTGAAATTATGTGTGACCACAGATAAGACCTAGATAAAAATATGGGGAATCTAAACATTTATTAGAAAATCATAACAATAAGTTAATTTTTTAAATTGATGTATGGCTTTACATTCTTGGTTTTCTTGTTTTTTTCTTTTTTCTTTTTTCTTTTTTTTGAGACGGAGTCTCGCTCTGTCGCCCAGGCCGGACTGCGGACTGCAGTGGCGCAATCTCGGCTCACTGCAAGCTCCGCTTCCCGGGTTCACGCCATTCTCCTGCCTCAGCCTCCCGAGTAGCTGGGACTACAGGCGCCCGCCACCGCGCCCGGCTAATTTTCTGTATTTTTAGTAGAGACGGGGTTTCACCTTGTTAGCCAGGATGGTCTCGATCTCCTGACCTCATGATCCACCCCCCTCGGCCTCCCAAAGTGCTGGGATTACAGGCGTGAGCCACCGCACCCGGCCTGTTTTTTTCAAAGTAAAGGATGGACTTTAATCTTCATTTACAGGATGCCAAGAGATATGAAATTCCACATAGAAATACAAAACCCATTCAGAGGACAAGCTTTATACAGTATATGCAGGTTGGAACTGTTCAAGTATAGTTTCAGTGTAAAAAATGCTACAATAACAAACCACATTTAAAAATAGTTCTTAGCAGAGAAACAGCAACACAAACTTATACCAAACATAGGACAAAACAACTGTATGCCTCAGCTTACATGATCTAAATGTTAAAGGTCCCAAGAGTCTCATTCTGAACATGGGAGGTATAGCTTTCAGAGGTAGTGTCTGGCACATTTTGATCTTCCTCTTCCTCTACAGAAAAATACTTCCCAATTAAGCTTAATGAAGCCTTATATATAAATTGATTTGCATGGTTTTGTAGAGCTTCAATTTTGTCTAAGCCGCCACATTCTTCAATCATTATACTAAGTTTCTCAGTTTCACCTAGTTTCTCAACAGCCTGAAAGATATTTGAAATGGCATCCAGAGTAACCAGAATAATCTTGGTATCTTTCACAGTTAAGAGGTTCATCAATGGTTCTATTATGCCACAATGAACAAGGTATACAATCTGTTCAACTATTCCACTACTTGTAGAGTTGGTCACAGCCAATACGGCTTCTTTTTGTGTCTTAAAATCTGCCTTAGAGAGAACACTGACTAATCTATGATTCATGGCTTGCTGTATCTGGTCCTGAAGGCCAGCTATGATGGTTGACATAGTCTATGTAGCTTCCTTCCGATTGTTAGTTTTAGGCTGGGAAAGATGGTGAGTGCTCCTGCATCAATAACAACCTGAGTCTGTCCATCTGTACCAGTGACAATATTTCCTATGGCTCTTAGTGCAGGAGTCACAATTGGCAATTCAGAAACTCCTAGAAGCTTCACGAGTTGGGTCACAACTTCTGTTTTCACGACCATGTCAATCCATTCATTCAGACCATCAGTAAGGTAGGAAACAGCCCAGCATGTATCTACTAATACTTCTGGATTATTGTGATGAAGGAGCCAAACTAAAGTAGGAAGAATTTTCTCAACAGCACCTAATGGAGCTGCAGGATTCTTGTTGCAACAAAGGTTTGTAAGTGTCTGGGTAAGATTACGTAAGTAACCACATGCTAAAGATGACATATCAGGAACTGCAAGAAGAGCCAATAGTGAGTCAACTGCAATGCCTCATTTCTGTACTGTCTTTACTCTTGTTCTTCAATGAATCTGTTCAGTTGGGCAGCTGGTGAATTAGCATTCTTGTTGGTGAACATGGTTATGAGACAAAGGAAGAAAGCTGCTCAGTGGACCCAGGCTTCCACGAAGGTGATGCAGGGCTCGCTGGCTGTAGGGCAACTGTGCTCAAAACATCCACCTTGGCTCAGCCCGAAGACTGTGTGTCTTCATTATATGTTGTGCAATGATAAATTTTTTTATGAAATAATAGCTAAACTTAAAGGATTCTTGCTTGGTAGATTTCTTGAAGCTTGATAAGACAGTATATGTGGCTAGGGTTGCCAGATTTAACTAATAAAAACACAGGACTCCCAGTTAAATTTGAATTTTGGTTGAACAATGAATGCTTTTTCACTATAAATATTTCCCATTCAACATGTGGCACATAATTTCACTACAAAAGCATTCACTGTTTGTCTGAAATTCAAATCGGGATGGTGTTGTGCAATTTATCTGACAATCACGCTTGTGCCATTTAGTACCTCATACCTACTCCAAACATTCACCATTCATATTAATGGTGCATAGGTATGCCCCAGTATGCATGGGATGAAGATGGTGGGTAGATTTAACACTTATTAGAAGAAGCAACCTTGGCTTTTACCAAACACAAATATGTTCAACTTTTTATTGTCATAATACATATTTTAGGAAATCCTGATTTGATCCATGAGGGCCAGAAATGAAAACATTCTGAAACAAAATTAAGATAAGAACATAGAATGAGACGATGAAAACTGAGATCATGGTAGATAACAGGAACTAACATTTTCCCAAGTTTTCAAGCCCAGGTCAACTGCGTGAAACTAGTCTACAGCATACATCCTGAGAAAGCCCCGGTAACAGGTCCTCGTATTGTACACTTTATATTTTCAAAAGGCCCAACTAAATAAAACATTTGGAGAAGATCCAGAATGGTCCAGGAACTACTGTCACTGAAGGATCGAATGGATTTTTGCCAGATTGTTCACTTTCGTCAACGTGTGTTCATGGTCATCTATGGATAAAGAATGTTGCCTAAAGGGCAGTGCATAGCTGCTTCCAGATTGTAGATTTATTAGCTAATAAAATGCTTCATTGAAATTTTATATCCATTTTCTTCATAATATATTTCAATTCACAGCATCTTTAGTCACAGGTGTGAATGGCCTAGGCAAATAGGTCAGATATAGCAAGAATCCTAAAGCTATAGTCAGCCTGTGGTACTGAAGACCTAGAAAGAATACTGGAGCTTAGTGAATAAACAAAGAGTGAAGGAAGGTGAGTGAAGAGAGGTAGACAGGGACTAAAATCCCAGAAAAGTGTTGGGTACTCAGAGAACTGCAATGGGTAGCCTGTGTGGAAATGCAGAGGAAGGACTAATATAATCTGGTTTGGGGCAGGTGACTTTGTTTTATTTTTCTTAATTAGAAGTGGCTTTAATAGACCCCTCATTCCTATGTGGGTCCATTATGATTCTATGCATGATCCTGTACATGATCATTGCCATGTATAGGGGCTACAGATCAACTTTTGTAAAAATGGAGTCAACAGCTTTTTGGCAGATGTCCTTCAACATTCAACTGGCTTGTATGTAATCAACCCCATCTGTTAAGTAGGCCAAGATTTTTGCAAACAATATATTGCTGAACCCAAACTAAGATAATTTAACTACTTAACTACTGCAATAGTCTCTTAATTTAACTGGTATTCCTATTTCTTCTTTTGCATTCCTGCCATCCAGTTAACACCCAGGACTCAGCATAACATTTAGAGTATAAATCAATCAGATCATATAATGTCCCTGCTTAAACTTTCCAGGGGTACTTCTGGGCTTCTGATCAGGATGTGAACTGGAAAGAACATGGCTCCCATTCTTTTAACACAAAAAAGCTAAGCAAACTGCAAGTTCACAGCTTTGAATCTATGAAGAGTAGAAAGTCATTTCTATTACTAGCCTTAAAACTTATTTAGCTCAGTTCTATGTCCTACATAAAATGTCCAGCTCCCAACAAAAAAATATGAGGCCCATAAAAAGGCAATATGGAACAACACATTGCCAAAGACAAATCAACAGAACCACACTCAGATATGACATGGATGTTGAAGTTATCTGGCAGGAATTTTAAATAATTATGACTAATTTGTTCACGGCTACAAAATGTTCTTTTGAATTCAAGATCAGATGGGAAATCCCAGAGAGTGAAATAGAAGGGGCCGGGGGTGGTGGCTCATGCTTGTAATCCCAGCACTTTGGGAGGCTGAGGCGGGCAGATCATGAGGTCAGGAGTTCAAGACCAGCCTGGCCAACACAGTGAAACCCCATCTCTACTAAAAATACAAAAAAAAAATTAGCTGGGCATGGTGGCAGGCACCTGTAATCCCAGCTACTCGGGAGGCTGAGGCAGGAGAATCACTTGAACCCGGGAGGTGGAGGTTGCAATGAGCCACGATCGTGCCACTGCACTCCAGCCTGGGACACAGAGCTAGACTCTGTCTCAAAAAAAAAAAAAAAAAAAAAATGGAAATAAGGAAGGGAGGGAGGGGTAGTAGAAATGCTGGAAATGAAACAGTAATTGCAATGAAGATTTTGTACACATGACGCAGCTGAGAATAAAATTGGTAACCTGAAGATAAGTCAATAGAAATCACATTTCTTTAAAAGGATGTTTAAAAACTCTCAAAACTCAACAATAAGAAAGCAACAAACCTGATAAAAATGAGTAAAGAGTCGAGCCTTCTCCAAAGGAGATATACAGATGGCAAATAAGCATATAAAAAGATGCTTAATATCATTAATGCAAATTAAAACCACAATTAGACACAGCTAGATATTTTTTAAATTTATTTTGTTAGCAACCAGCTTTAATTGTATCATTTTAAACTTGTGACATTTTAAAATTGTACAAGTATTTTGACATCTGCCTCCCACGTTTAGTGTCTTAAAATGATGGCAAAATACCCACCAATCACAGGACTGATGGGTTTAATGAGTTTAACCCTCAGTTCCTATTTGCAGCACCCAATATTCCTTTGAAATATGAAACAGACCTGGCAGTGGCCAACAGTGAATTTCTGCCCCCATCACCAACAGAGTTGAAAAGTTCAGGTTCTCTGAGTGTTACGCTGCAGTGGCACTTGTCCGGAATTGGTACCTTCCCATACTTGGGGGACTTCAAATGTACCGGTGAAAATATCATTTTCCTCTTCAAGGGAAAGAAAGAAAATCACTTCAAAGCTCAGCAGATCTGTCTGTGAGGTCTTTCCTCCTGTCCCATCTCTTCAGGCTTTTTTATTTTTTATTTTTATTTTTTGCAGTACAGCAGGAGAGACCAATAGCTAAACTGAGTTACAAAAAACAAGACGGTGATGGCCATAAAGGGAGTGACCAGGAGCAACTGGAACACTCCTTTACCTCCCACATCAAACGTATGTGCTTCACAGAAACACAGAAACACACACACATACACACACGTGCGCACACGCGCATGCAAAACCAATCCACAAAATACAACAGCTAGAATTATAAAATTCATTCATCCAAGGGTGGTAGATGGCAGGAAGGAAAGGTGGGGGGTGGGGGGGTAAATGGCACAGCGAAAAAAACAAAGTATTCAAATCAGTCTAGGCACAGGGACTGGCAAATGCTAGAAAATAGCTGCAGAAAAACCTGTGTTCCTTTCAGACTCGTGATGGTGTTAAAAATCCACACACTGATGTCAGGAAGATTCTGCCTTATGTGCACCAGAGAAAAAAATTCTGATTCCTCAGAAAGAAGGGAATACACAGAAGAACCTTGGCAGAGTGGGTTCCGCCTTCCCTGGCAGGGGGAAGTGAGCACAGCCTCCCTCCTACCTCACCCATGCCCTTTGCATGGCAGTAGCCTTCAGTTTGGCAGGAGATGGATGCAGTGAAGGGAACTTCCCTAAAGAGGTTAAGCTGCTCAGGGCAGACTGCAGGTAGACTGTCCTGTAAGAGTCTGGTGCTTAGGAAGACCACCAAGGGCAAGAGGCACAACTGGAAGAGGTACGCTGTGCCAGGGGTCTTTGCTTCATTGGTGCTGATAAAGAACAAGGATAGAGGAATAAAGGAACAAGGATAGAGATGAGGCAGCCACTGATAATATGGCTGCACTGGTAATGAAGACTGCATTGCCGTGAGAAAAGCCAAGGGCAAACCAAACCCAAAGTAGTAAGACCAGTTCCTTTCTATGTTAGGCAACTGCTGGTGCACTTCATTCCTTTATTGAACCAACAATGTTTGAAGCAGCACAGTGAGTAGAGAAGAGACATATGCAGGAGACTAACCAGCTGAACAACAATATGGATGGGAAAGAGACCCACAAACACTCCTTGATTGAGGAAAAGAGCCTGCAGCAAAAGGTTGGAGAGCATGTCAGCAATTATTTTGCAGACACTAGGGAATGGGTGAGGCTTCCTCACTGGTTTCTCAAATGCCAGGTCAGCTATATCTTGAAACCAAATGGCATTGACAACTTTGCTAGGCACAAACAAGGGGAGCACCCAATGAGCACTGGAGGTTGACATGAGGAAGAATTCTAGCCATGACTGAGCATCTCCATGTCATGATAGATCACCAATAATTCAGGGTGTCACTGACCAAAGCAGAAGAATAAACACTCAATAAAGCAGGAGGAGACTGGACCAGAACACTCCACCATTCCAAGTGCAACACTGAAAAATTCTACTAACAATACATGGCTCACTCTCTCACTCTTACTCTATGTTCTTAGCTCCTCTGTGCCAGGATACTACTTGCCTTTCTTCAATGCTGCTCCTCTCCCTTTTGCTGGATTCAAGCACACAGCTTGGAGACTGTAAAAATACCCCAAAAGGAATCTTTGATTCCCCTGCCAAGGTCCTGGAGAAAGGTTTTAACACTGTCAGGCATCTCTTCACCACCCAAACTACCAACTACACAGAGGAGACAGAAGTGCCCCAAAGATTCTCATTATGAAGGACCCACAGCTCCACTGCCATAGCTCTGGCCAGGCCCCTCACCCATGGCAGACCTGATCGGCTCCTCAGCACACAGCCGCCCCCTCTCCACTGGGCTGCTCCCAGGGCAGGGGCCACATAGGGCTGCTGCCAGGCATTTTTTAAATAGCTAAAAAGAAAATTTAAAAATTAGCAACATCGTGTTACTTAGAAGGGTAAAGAGCAACTGGAAATCTCATACATTGCTGGTAGAAATGCAAAATGTTACAGCATCCTTGGAAAATAGTTTGGCAGTTTTTAATAAAATTAGACATGTGCCTACGATACATCCCAACAATTTTACTTCCAGATAATTACTCGAGAAATAAAAACTATATTTATGCAAATACCTTCATATATTTATAGAGGTTTTTATTTTTAAAGTCTAAAAATGACACAATTCATACGTTCTTCAAATGGTAAACTGATAAACTTTAGCAAACCCATTCAATGGGATGTTGCTCAGGAATAAAAAGGAATGAACTTGATTCACATGACATAGATGAATCTCAAATGCATTAAGCCAAGTAAAAGAAACCATATCCAAAAAGCTACATATCATATGGTTCCATTTTATATGGCTTATTATAGGATGGGAAACACATCATAGGTTGTATTAGTTCATTTTCACGCTGCTATTAAGAAATACCCAAGACTGGGTAATTTATAAAAAAAAGAGGTAGAATTGACTCACAGTTCCACATGACTGGGGAGGCCTCGGGAAACTTACAATCATGGCAGAAGGAGTCTCTTCACAGAGCAGCAGGAGAGAGAATGAGTGCCAAAAGAATGGGGAAGTCCCTTATAAAACCATCAGATTTCATGAGAACTCACTCACTATCACAAGAACAGCATGGGGGAAACCTGCCCCCATGATTCAATTGTCTCCACTTGGTCCTACCCTTGACACATGGGGATTATTACAATTCAAGGTGAGATTTGGGTGGGAACACAGCGCCAAACCATATCATAGGGTGTTAGGGATTGGAAGAGAAGGAAAGAGTTGAGTACAAATGGGCAGCACTGAGAGACTTTGTGATGAGGAAACCTGTATTCATCTGTTCTCACACTGCTAATAAAGACATACCTGAAACTGGGTAATTTCTAAAAGAAAGAGGTTTAACTGACTCACAGTTCCACATGGCTAGGGAGGCCTCACAATCATGGTGGAAGAGCAATGGACATCTTACATGGCAACAGGCAAGAGAGAACTTGCGCAGGGGATCTCCCCTTTATAAAACATCAGATCTCATGAGAGTTATTCACTATCATGAGAACTGCATAGCAAAGACCTGCCCCCATGATTCAATTACCTCCCACTGGGTCTTTCCCACAACACATGGAAATTGTGGGAGCTGCAATTCAAGATGAGATCTGGGTGGGAACACAGCCAAACCATACCAAAACTATTCTATTTTATAACTGTGGTGGTCAAAACATGATGACTTCATGCATTTGCCAAAATCTGTATAACTACACCCCATAAACAGCATATTTTACCATATCAGATTGTCAAAAAACCTTTCCAATAGCCTCTATAACCCTTAAAATTGAAGCTTATTTCCATATCCTGTACAGTTTTGCATAATATTTCTTCTGCCTCTCATTGCTCACTCATTACATTGCTTACTATGCTACAGCAATACAGTTCTTAGTAAACAAAGTAACTTCAACCCTCAGGTTATTGCACTTGCCATCAAATTCCTAGAATATCCTTTTCCCCAGGTCTTTATTTTGTTAACTCCATCTTATCCTTCACATCTCAACTTCAATGTCAACTATCAGATATGCTTCCTTAACAGCCAAACTTACATTACCTTCCCTCTATCATATTGCCTTGCTTAGTTACTTCACAATTTCCAGAATCTAAAATTATTTTTATTTATTTATGTTTTTACTTATTTGTTACATGTTCCCACCTCTAGAATACAAGCTCCATGGAGTGAGGTGTTATTTTTCTCTTTTTCAAAAAGAATAAAATCCCCAGGCATATAACAGCCACGTGATAAGTATTTGCTAAATGAATGACTGAATTTTAAAACTATTATATTAAGTGTTCTGAGATAATCCCTCCAAATTTCTCCCAGGCAATGCTAGACTTTTACAAAAAGGAAGAAAATAAATGGCTTGTACGCAGCTATAGTATTTTTACAACAAAGTGGATTATTAATTAATTGGCCAAATAATTTGTAAAAGAGGCTATTGGGCAAGATCAAAAATCTCCATGGTGCCCTTAAGGTCCAGAATTCTGTTACAATTTTGTTTGAACACGGATTCATTCATTATTAGACTTTGGTAGTGGTTGCTTAAGAAAAAATATACTCAGAGACAGATTACTTTTTATCTCAAAAAAATAATAATACTGACGGTCTTCAAGATGGCTGACTAGAGGTGCCCAGCACTCTTCTCTCCTGAAAAAAAAGACCAAAATAGCAAGTAGATAACCACATGTCCAATAGCCTAAGCAAAACCACTGAGATTCAGCAGAGAAGTAACAGTGACCCTCTGAGGCATGGAAACTTAACTTGAGACTGCACCATAAACAGAGAAGCAAACCAGATGGTCAGGATCAGTTAAGAGCCAGGGAAGACTCCCCATTTCAGGAAAAATGTACATGAGAGATCCCCACTGGTCCATCTTCCCACCACAGATGCTTGTAATCCTAACTACAGGTGAGCCCCTCAACCCTCCCAGACCCTGAGCCTACAGGCAGCACAATTATGTTGTCCCTGCAAGGGAATTCATACTTTGTATATGCACCACCAGCACCCAATTTGCTGCAGCCCAGCATCACTTTCAGAGTGGAGCCAACACCAGACTATATCCCGCCCTGGAGCACTATAACTCCTACATCTCCATTTCCTTGGGGCCCCATCAACATTCTCCCACATCCCCCAGAGGGCTGCAGCATCACCCCAGCTGGACCTAGAGGTGGGCCATGTCTCTGATACCCAAGCCCATGCAACACCCTACAACACAGGGAATAGACAGTCCAGCACATCAAGGAGGCTGCCCCGAAGACATAGGGAGCCAAAGCACATGCTCCTTATAGCCTGAGAGCCACCTGCCCAAGCCTCCACAACAAACAGTGATCCTGCCCCTACCTCAGCAGCCATTGTATACCCAAGCACACTGCCTGGGTACCTAAAACCTAGCCCACCTTGCCTCCCACAATAACTACCAACACCCACATGCTTCACGAAGGGGCCCAAAGACCTCTACTACCACAGCCAGTACATGTGTGCACCTCCTGGGATGGCTCAAAGATAAGCCTTCTTGGGTCACCACTGTTACTATTGGCACCCACACACACTACCTTGGAACTCAAGGACCAGCCCA
The DNA here is from genome assembly GCF_000001405.40 of Homo sapiens. Taxonomy (NCBI): domain Eukaryota; kingdom Metazoa; phylum Chordata; class Mammalia; order Primates; family Hominidae; genus Homo; species Homo sapiens. The sequence continues at coordinate 145,001,684 of NC_000007.14, read as the reverse complement.
CCAGGTGTCTCCATGCCACCACCACCGACACCTGCATGCCCTGCCCAGGGTCCGAAGGAGCAGCCCAAGGAACAGACAAGCCAGACTATGGCTGCCACTACCCGTGCCTGTGCACCACACCCAGGGTGCTGAGGACCAGCCAGCACAGGTTCTGTTGTCACTACCATCAGTGCCCACACACCCAACGTAGGGGCCCAAGAACTGGCCCGCCCAGAGCCCATTCTCACCACAGCCAATACCCACACAAGCTATTTAGGGACCTGAGGACTGATTCATCTGGGGCTCATCCAAGCCACCCAGGGACCTGAGGACTGGCCTGACTGGCACCCCAGTTTCCAGAAAAGTCTTACCACAGCCTGCACAAATAACTACAACCACTAAGGAATTCACAGACACCACTGACGTTGATTACAGCCAAAGAAATCATATGGAGATTACACTCTGGCACCCACTCAGAACCTAAGTCAAAGTACCCTAACCAATAGGCACTATAGATACATCAACCAGAAATCATATTTCCCTATGGAAACTACTCCATAAAATTAGAAAATGCACTGTTACACCAGATGCATAGATATCAACATAAACATCAACAAGAAACATGAAAAAGCAAGTCAACACAACACCTTCAGAGGAACACAATAATTCTCCAATAACAGATCCCAAAAGAAATCTATAAAATACCTTAAAAGGAACTCAAAATAACAATATTAAAAAAATAGTAAAATACAAGTAAACACAGATGGACAATACAAAGAAATCAAGAAACTAACTTGTGATCTGAAAGAGAAATTTAACAAAAAATATATATATAAGAAAAGAACTAAAGAGAAATCTTGGAATGAAATAATTCAATGAATGAAATAAATCAAGACCTTTAACAATAGACTATATTAAGAAGAAAAAACAATTTCTAAACTTGAAGATAGGTCTTTTGAAAATTACCCAATGTAAAAAATAAAAAATACAAGAATGAAAAAGAATGAAGAAGGCTGGGCATAGTGGCTTACACTTGTAATCATAACACTTTGGGAAGCCAAGGCTGGAGGATCACTTGAGCTCAGGAGTTTGAGACCAGCCTGGGAAAACATAGCAAGACTTCATGTCTACTAAAATTTTAAAAAATTAACTGGGCATGGTGGTGCATGTGATCCCAGCTACCTGGGGGTGGGGGACTGAGGTGGAAGGATTGCTTGAGCCTGGGAGGTCAAGACTGCAATCAGCCATGATTGTGACACTGTGTGACAGAGAGATTCTGTCTAAAAATGATTAATAAAGAATAATAATAAGGTCTACATGACATACAGGACAACATGAAGCAAATAAACATTCAAATTTTGTAGGGAGAGAAGAAATAGGAGAAGGCATAGAAAACCTATTTAATGAAATAATAACTAAAAGCTTTCCAAGTCTTTTGAGAAATATAGACATCCAGATACAGGAAGTTCAAAATTCTCCAAATAAATTTAACTCCAAAATTTCAAAGTTATCAAAGTCAAAGACAAAATGAATAATTATAAAACCAGCAAGAGAAAATCATCAAGTCACATATAAGGGAATTTCCATCATATTAACAGTAGATTTCTCAGCAGAAACCATATAGGCCAGGAAAGGACGAGATGATATAGTCAAAGTGATGAAAGAAAAATAAAATGGCTGCCAAGAATACTATACTCAGCAAAGCTATTCTTCAGAAATGAAAGAGAATGAGTCTCTACCAGACAAACAAAAACTGAGAGATTTCATCACTACTAGACTATTCCTACAAGAAATGCTTAAGCAAGTCCTACAACTGAAAGCGAAAGGATGATATCTACCATCATGAAAACACATGGAAGTATAAATAAAATTCACTGGTAGAGCAAATATACAATATGGAAGCAAAAGGAATTAAACCTTATCACTACAGAAAACCACCAAATCCAAAAATAAACAATAGGAGAAGATGAAAGAAAATAAGGATATGCAAAACAATCAGAAGCTATCTAACAAAGTGATAGGAGCCAGTCCTCACCAGTCTATAACAACCTTGAATGTAAATAGTTCAAATTCCTCAATTAAAAGCTATAGGCTGAATGAATGAATCAAAAAAGACCCAACTATATGCTGCCTACAAGAAACACACTTCACCTGTAAAGACATGTAGAGACTGAAAGTGAAGGAATGAAAAAGGATAGTCCATGCAATGGAAATCAAAAGCATGCAGGAGTAGCTACACTTTGCTAAAGCAGACTTTAATAAAAACAAAAAGAGACAGAATTATTATACAACAAAAAGGAATCAATTTAGCTGGAGGATGTAACAATTGTAAATATATATACTCGATACAGAGCACCAAGATATATAAAGCAAGGATTATTAAAGGTGAAGAGAGACATAGACCTTAATACAATAATCGTTGGGAACTTTAACACCTCACTTTTAGAAATGGACAAACCATCCAGTTGGCCAATTAACAAAGAAACATCAGATTTAAACTGCACGATAAGCAAAATGGACCTAAAAGACATTTACAGAACATTTTATCCAAAAGCTACAAAATACATATTCTTCTCATCAGCTTGTGAAATATTCTGCTGGATGAACCACATGCAAGACCACAGAACAAATATCAATAAAATAATTAAAAATTATATTAAGTATCTTCTTAGACCATAATGGAATATAACTAGAAATTAATAACAAGAGGAACTCTGGAAACTGCAAATACATGAAAATTTAAAAACATGCCCCTGAATGACCAAAGGGCCAATTAAAAAATTTAAAGGGAAATCAAAAAGTTTCTTGAAAAAAATGAAATTGGAAATGACATACCAAAATGTATGGGATACAACAAAAATAGTACTGAGGGAATTTTATAGCAATAAATCCATACATTAAAAAGTAGAAAAACTTCAAATAAAGAATTTAATGATGCATTTTAAGGAACTAGAAAAGTGAAAACAATACAAACCCAAAATTAGTAGCAGAAATAAATAATAAAGAATAAACCAGAACTAAGCAAAATAGAAACTAATAAAATACAAAAAGTCAACAAAACAAAATGTTTTCTAAAAGATAAACAAAATTGACAAACCATTAGCTATATGAAGAATAACAGAAGACACAAAATTAAATCAGAAATGAACAAGGAGACATTACAACTGATACCACAAAAATACAAAGAATCATTAGAGACTATTATGGATAAATATGCCAACAACTGAGAAATCCTAGAGGTAATTGATATATTCCTGGACACATACAACCTAGCAAGATTAAACCAGCAAGAAAGAGAAAACCTGAACAGACCAATAATGAGTAATGAGATTGAATTAGTCATAAAATGCCTCACAACACATTAAAGCCTAGGCCTGGATAGCTTTCCTGCTGAATTCTACCAAACTTTTAAAGAACACAAATTCTTCTCAAACTATTCCAAAAAAATTAAAGAGGGAGGATTTCTTCCTAACTAATTCTACAAGGCCAGCATAACCCTGATACCAAAACCAGACGAGGACAGAATTAAAAAAAAAAAAAAAGAAATAAGACAGAAAGAAAACCATAGGCTAAAAGCCCTGATAAACATACATGCAAAAGTCCTCAACAAAATACTAGCAAACCAAATAAGACATCAAAAACATAATATACCACAATCAAGTGGGATTTACCTTAGGAATGTGGGGATGGTTCAACATACGCAAATCAGTAAGTATGATACATTACATTAACCAAATGAAGGACAAAAACCATCTGATGATTTCAAAAGATGAAGAAAAAAGCATTTGATAAACTTCAACATCCCTTCATGACCAAAACTCTCAACAAAGTAGGTATAGAAGGAACACATCTCAGCACAATAGAGACCATATATGACAAACTCACAGCTAACATCATACTGAATGAGGAAAAGCTAAAAGCCTTTCCTCTAAGAACTAGAGCAAGACAAGGATGCCTATTTTCATCAGTCTTACTCAACATAAGAGCAATTAGGCAAGAGAAAGAAAGAAAGGGCATCCAACTGGAAAGAGGAAGTCAAATTGTCCCTTGCAGATGATATGATCTTATATAGAGAAAACCTAGACTCTAACAAAACACTTTTAGGACTGACAAATGAATTCAGGAAAGTTGCAACACACAAAATCAACATACAAAAACTGGTAGCATTTCTATACACCACTGACAAATGGGCTGAAAAAAAGAACAAGAAAGCAATCTCATTCACAATAGCTACAAATAATAATAATAATAAAATAAATATGAATAAATTTAACCAGGGAGGTGAAAGACCTCTACAAGGAAAACTACAAAACACTGATGAAAGAAATTGAAGGGGACACAAATAGAAAGACATTCCATGCTCATGGATTAGAAGAATAAGTGTTGTTATAAAGATCATATCACCCAAAGCATCTACATATTCAATGCAATTCCTATCAAAATACAAATGACTTATTCACAAGAATAGAAAAACAATCATAAAATTTATATGAAAATACAAAAGACCCTAAACAGCCAAAGCAATACTGAGCAAAAAGCTGGAAGCAAAACAATGCCAAAATTATATCAAAATATACTACAAATATACAAAGTTATACAAAAATATATTACAAAGCTATAGTAACCAAAACAGCATGGTACTGACATAAAATCAAGCACATAGAATGGAACAGAATAGATAACCCAGAAATAAATCCACGTACTTACAGCCAACTGATTTATTTTTTTGAGACAGGAGCTCACTCTGTCACCCAGACTGGAGTGCAATGGTGCGAAAACCATTCACTGCAGCCTTAATCTCCTGGGCTCAAGAAATTCTCCTGCCTCAGCTGCCAATGTAGTATAATTCATTGGTCAATTTTTTGTTTTTGTTGGGACCACAGGCATGCACCACCACACCCAGCTGATTTTACTATTTTTTGTAGAAATTGAGTTTCACTTTGTTGTCCAGCCTGGTCTTAAACTCCTGGGCTGAAGAAATCCACGTGCCTCATCCTCCCAAAGTGCTAGGATTACAGGTGTGAGCCATGGTGCCCCACTAGCCAACTCTTTTTTTGACAAAAGCACCAAGAACATATACTGGGGAAAGAACAACCTCTTCAATAAATGGTGCTGGGAAAACAGGATCTCCATATACAGAAGAATGAAACAAGACCTTTATCTCTCACCCCATTTTTAAAAATCTAGTCAAAATGGGTTACAGACAAACATAAGATCCTAAACTATATAACTACCAGAAGAAAACATAGGAGAAATGCTTCAGAACACTGATATAGGCAAAGATTTTATGAGTAAGATTTCAGAAGCATAGGCAACAAAAACAAAAAATTGACCAGTGAAATTATATCTAACTAAAAGCTTTTGCACAGCAAAGGAAAAAGTCAACAGAGTGAAGAAACAAACTGTAGAATGAGAGAAAATATTTGCAAACTATTCAACCAACAAGGGACTAATATCCAAAATATTCAAAAACTCAACAGCAACAACATAACAAATGATTTGATTAAAAATGGACAAAGGATCTGAATAGAAATTTCTCCAAAAAAGACATACAAATGAACATGCAACATATGAAAAAATGCTCAACATTACTAATAATCAGGTAAATGCGAATCAAAACCACAATGGAATACCATCTTGCCCCAGTTAGAATGACAACTGTCAAAAAGACAAAAAATAACAAGTGCTAGCAAGGATGCAAAGAAAAGAGAACTCATACACTGTTGGTGGGAATGTAAATTAACATAGCCATTATGGAAAACAGCGTGGCGTTTTCTCAAAAGACTAAAACTAGAACTACCATATGATCCAGCAACCCCACTACTGGGTATTTAACCAAAGGAAAAGAAATCAGTACATCGAAGAGATGTTTTCACTCTCATGTTTATTGCAGCTCTATTCATGATAGCTAAGGTTTGAAATCAACCAAAATATCTATCAACAGATGAATAAATAAAATGTGGCATATATATACAATGGAATATTACTCAGCCATAAAAAATGGAATATTACTCAGCCATAAAAAATGAAATCTTCTCATTTGCAGCAACATTGATAAGCCTGGAGCACATTATGTTAAGTGAAATAAGACAGGCACAGAAAGGTAAATACCACGTTTTCACTCATATGTGGAGGTTAAAAAAAAAATTGAGCTCATAGAAGTAGAGAGTAGAATTGTAGTCATTAGAGAACAGGAATGCTAGCTAGGGAGAGGAGTAGAGTAGGGAGAGGTTTGTTAACAAAGACAAGTTATAGTTAGTTGAAAGTAATAAGTTCTAGTGTTCTGTAGCACTGTGGGGTGTACATGGTTAACAACAGTTTAGTGTATATTTCAAAAGGCTAGAAGAGAGAATTCTGAATGTTCACGACATACAAAGTGATAAATGTTCAAGGTAATGGATATGTGAATTATCCTAATTTGATCACTGATACACAAATCCTATGTATTAAAATATCACTGTGTCCCATAAATACATATAATTGTTATGTGCCAACTTAAAATAAAGGGAAAACATAATAACACTATAAACATTTACTGTGAATGACATGGGAGCAGAAACTTGTTTTTCTCATCTTGGTATTTCAGATATTTAGCGTGGCTCCACGCACGTAGTAGTAGCACAATAAATGTTTGATATAGGCATTAAACAACACAATCTCTCTAGAGATGAAACCAAATTATAAATGTGCAGCATGATATAAAGAAATCACATTACAAAATATGGGTTCCACTGATAACTGTGCAACTAATTAGCTATGTGACCATAACCTTTCCGATTCTGTTTCTGCAGAATGTAGGAACAGAGTTAACTTCTCATGTCCTGTCCTAACCTCTCAGATGTTTTTTTTTACTATGTGGTGTTCTGAAGTTCATTAAAAGACAGTCTTTAGAACTAGAAAGGCTTTTTCCTACAAAGTCAATGTTTTCAGATGAATCAAAATCTCTCAATTCTTCTAAGAAAACCTGGTTTACCTTTTATTTAAAATATTAAAACAATTAAGAAGTGTGTGTGCGGTGAAACCTGTCTCTACTAAAATTTCAAAAAAATTAGCTGGGTATGGTGGCGGGCGCCTGTATTCCCAGCTACTCGGGAGGCCGAGGCAGGAGAATCTCTTGCACCTGGGAGGCGGAGGTTGCAGTGAGCTGAGATCATGCCACTGCACTCCAGCCTGGGCAAGAGAGCAAGACTCTGTCTCTGAAAAAAAAAAAAGTGTGTATATATGAAAAAGGAAGCAATACAAGTCTGAAGTGGAATAAAAGTAAAAAATTATAGAATATAGCTTATCTAATTGAACATAGTTTATCTTGAAAGTGACTCCTTGAGGCAAAGCAATTTTAATTAGTGGAGAATGAGCTGGTAGATGGAGACTATTTTAGGAATTCTGCAAATGTTCTGAGTATTTTCAAGGCCCTTTATATCCCAATGACACTGTTTTGCTTATCATTATTATAGCTAGTATTTCAGAACATATGACTTTTCTTTTTCTTATTATAATGCACATCTCTGTCATAATTCTTATGCTTAACAATTGTGTTGTTATTCTTTGACCTCAATTGAAGAGAGAAAGAGGAAGGTGATTATAGATTTTCAAGAGGCATGAGGCAGGAGTGTAAAGGGGTAAAAAAATGAGATTAAAGACTACAGGGTGAGCATGAGAAAGTGACTGTGATACAAGCAATTAACTAGGCTTTTAGCTATAAAAGGAAAAGCTATGGAATCAGAGAGGTTACGGCAGACAAAGAAAAGAGAAGGTAGGAAGAAGACGTTGAGTCAAATAATTCACCTCCCCAGTTCTCATTAATCTAAGACACTACAGATGGTTTGTGAGAGAACCAGAAAAGTTGTTTCAGGGCAGGTAATTGAAAACAACTTTCACTTTCTTCTTCTTTTAAGTACTTCCACCTGCCTCCTACAAAACTGGGCTTTCTATCTTCTTGTGCTGTTATTTTACTCTGCTTATCACCTCATGGTTAATAGCTCTATCTACTATTTACATTGATGTCATATGTTGTCAGCTTCTGGTATCACGTAGCATTTTTGTTAACACTTGAAAATATTAAGTTTTTGAGTTTTCTCCCTGCAATAGACAGTGTTCACACAATAATGACTATACATCTGCAAGGCCACTGTAAAATCTGAAAAGACAAGCCCTAAATAGTCCACATGGCAATGACTTCTTTGTAGATGAAATAGCTTCTGGTGATACGGAAATAATAACTTTAACTCAAAATATTATGTACTTTGGTAGGAAATTTATTATTATTATTATTATTATACTTTAAGTTTTAGGGTACATGTGCACAATGTGCAGGTTAGTTTCATATGTATACATGTGTCATGCTGGTGTGCTGCACCCATTAACTCGTCATTTAGCATTAGGTATATCTCCTAATGCTATCCCTCCCCCCTCCCCCAACCCCACAACAGTCCCCAGAGTGTGATGATCCCCTTCCTGTGTCCATGTGTTCTCATTGTTCAACTCCCACCTATGAGTGAGAACATGCGGTGTTTGGTTTTTTTGTCCTTGCCATAGTTTACTGAGAATGATGATTTCCAATTTCATCCATGTCCCTACAAAGGACATGAACTCATCCTTTTTTATGGCTGCATAGTATTCCATGGTGTATATGTGCCACATTTTCTTAATCCAGTCTATCGTTGTTGGACATTTGGGTTGGTTCCAAGTCTTTGCTATTGTGAATAGTGCCGCAATAAACATACATGTGCATGTGTCTTTATAGCAGCATGATTTATAGTCCTTTGGGTATATACCCAGTAATGGGATGGCTGGGCCAAATGGTATTTCTAGTTCTAGATCCCTGAGGAATTGCCACACTGACTTCCACAATGGTTGAACTAGTTTACAGTCCCACCAACAGTGTAAAAGTATTGCTATTTCTCCACATCCTCTCCAGCACCTGTTGTTTCCTGACTTTTTAATGATTGCCATTCTAACTGGTGTGAGATGGTATCTCATTGTGGTTTTGATTTGCATTTCTCTGATGGCCAGTGATGGTGAGCATTTTTTCATGTGTTTTTTGGCTGCATAAATGTCTTCTTTTGAGAAGTGTCTATTCATGTCCTTCACCCACTTTTTGATGGGGTTGTTTGTTTTTTTTCTTGTATTGCTTCAAAGAGAATAAAATACCTAGGAATCCAACTTACAAGGGACATGAAGGACCTCTTCAAGGAGAACTACAAACCACTGCTCACTGAAATAAAAGAGGATACAAAGAAATGGAAGAACATTCCATGCTCATGGATAGGAAGAATCAATATCATGAAAATGGCCATATTGCCCAAGGTAATTTATAGATTCAATGCCATCCCCATCAAGGTACCAATGACTTTCTTCACAGAATTGGAAAAAACTACTTCAAAGTTCATATGGAACCAAAAAAGAGCCCGCATTGCCAAGTCAATCCTAAGCCAAAAGAACAAAGCTGGAAGCATCACGCTACCTGACTTCAAACTATACTACAAGGCTACAGTAACCAAAACAGCATGGTACTGGTACCAAAACAGAGATATAGATCAATGGAACAGAACAGAGCACTCAGAAATAACGCTGCATTATCTACAACTATCTGATCTTTGACAAACCTGAGAAAAACAAGCAATGGGGAAAGGATTCCCTATTTAATAAATGGTGCTGGGAAAACTGGCTAGCCATATGTAGAAAGCTGAAACTGGATTCCTTCCTTACACCTTATACAAAAATTAATTCAAGATGGATTCAAGACTTAAACATTAGACCTAAAACCATAAAAACCCTAGAAGAAAACCTAGGCATTACCATTCAGGACATAGGCATGGGCAAGGACTTCATGTCTAAAACACCAAAAGCAATGGTAACAAAAGCCAAAATTGACAAATGGGATCTAATTAAACTAAAGAGCTTCTGCACAGCAAAAGAAACTACCATCAGAGTGAACAGGCCACCTACAAAATGGGAGAAAATTTTTGCAACCTACTCATCTGACAAAAGGCTAATATCCAGAATCTACAATGAACTCAAACAAACTTACAGGAAATTTATCTGAAATGAAAAATATACAAAAATAAAAGCAGTTCTACATGTTCTGGTAAAAAAAAATAATAACACACACAAGAAATCTAATTTTGTCAGCTTAATTCCTCTTTGTTGAGTGGGTCTGATATTCTTCCAAGTGTAGTCCATGGATCACCTGGACTGTAATCGCCTGAGTGCCTGTGAAAGTGCAGATTATGGAAATCTAGCCTCTGCTGCTGAATCAGAATCTTTGGGGATACAACGTGATCTAAATGTCAGCAAGCTTTCTGCATCACATTTATGTCCACTAAGATTTCAGAGTCTCTAGTTTAATGCAGGATCCTGTTGTGTGAGAGCAGGCACCTCACCAGCACTTGGCATACAAGAGTTTACCAACCACAAAGGAAACTGTCCTTCCTCTCTCCCCTCTACCTCCTGCAGTGCTTCCAGGCTTTTCTTGCCAATGACATAGATTAGATGCTTCCAAGTACTCAAAAGCCCAAAGGTTAATGAGGCATCTCATTCATATTTCATGATTGTTGTTTGCCCTTCTCTGCCTTTGGGACACACAATGGAAAAGTTCAATCAATAGAATAACATCAGAAGCACTAGACAATTAGAAGATACCAGAAATAATCCATAGACGCCTACTGTATTTATAGCAAATGGCCTGAATTAATAAATTATCAACAGAGATCATTATTTCACTAGAATCCATCAATGTGTTAAAAAAAAAAAAAGCAAACAAATATACCAAACTCTAGAAACAAAGAGCACCTACCAATTTCTTTTTTTAATTATCCCATTCTCAACATGCCTGTTTTTATAGTGTCCGCCCCATTTCTTGTCATCAAGGCCATCATTCTATTGTCTTTTGTGTTTAAAGATTTTAGAGCTCTTTATTCTCAGGCTAATACGCTCACACATAGGACAATGATGGAAAAGACAGGAGAAATTCAATACATTTGTGTTGAAAACTAATACCTCTGATGCTTACTTTCTAAACTTCACAAATCTTTGCTACATTTTAAAGCTCATTTATTGGGTAAAATTTCTCCTAAAACTTTGTGGGAGGGTGTTCTTTATTAATTATATTGTTCGTATTCCCTCTTCTCCAATGCCCATTAGCTCTCCTATATAGCCCTTTGTTTTATATTTTTAAAATTGATTTATAATAGTAATAGAAACCATTACTGAGTATCTAAAATATTCCAGAAATTTTATATAGGTTATGTTTATTTTATATTTATTTATTTATTTATTTATTTATTTTTTGAGACGGAGTCTTGCTCTGTCGCCCAGGCTGGAGTGCAGTGGCGCAATCTCGGCTCACTGCAAGCTCCGCCTCCTGGGTTTGCGCCATTCTCCTGCCTCAGCCTCCCGAGTAGCTGGGACTACAGGCGCCCACCACCACGCCCGGCTAATTTTTTTGTATTTTTAGTAGAGACGGGGTTTCACCGTGTTAGCCAGGATGGTCTCGATCTCCTGACCTTGTGATCCGCCTGCCTCGGCCTCCCAAAGTGCTGGGATTACAGGCGTGAACCACCGCGCCCGGCCGGTTATGTTTAAATATTACAAGTATTTCCCAAAAATATGTTATTTGCAGCTCAAGTCCTCTAAAGTGTTTAAAAAACACTAGGCTTTGGGGATCATTTAGAGACTGGTTCAAACTATTTCTTGATGTTCAGGTTCCTGAAACATATTCATATATTAAATCATCTGAGATCTATAGTGTGAAAAAAAAAAGCAATACAAGTTTTTATCTCAAGGTTTCTTATGTTAACTTGATCGTGAAACTATTTTTTTTTAGGTTCAAGTGAAATTACTTTGCAAAATGCTGCCTTAGACAAAGTTTTAATATATTTAGTATTATTAGTTTTATTCTTATTACTACTACTCTTAATTTAAAGTACTATGACAGTAAAAAAAAAAATTAATTATTTGTCCAAAGCCACAGAACTAAGGGATGATAGAACTGATATTCAAATTTGTCTCTAAAATCCACTTTCATTCCATTATTTTATTATATTCTTCCTCTTTAATTTCTAAATCATTTCTTCTAAATCATTTTTTAAATTCTATAAAAGAAACTAACATCTACTAGTAGATATTACACACTCAAGGGTCGATCCTTATTTACCTAGAATGCCCATAAAACAGATTAAAATAATATTCATTATTGGGGCATTTATGTAATATAGGCCATTAGCACACAATGTTGTTTTTTGCTATAATCATTTTTTAATGTTAAATTTTAAGGCAAAATTTTAAGTAACAATCCTTGGAATTTTTAAAGAGTTAAAAACACTGAGGCAGAATTTTGCAAGAAAGCAGACTTTAGCAAGTCATTAGTGAAACAAGCTTCATAAAAGAAGGGAAGGAAAGAGGGAGGGAAAATAAATAATTAACTTTGGCATGAGTGAGATGGGGAGAATAGGCTTTGGAGTTCATGAGCTCAAACGACATAGCACATGACTTTCAGGAAACTCTCCTACAGGAGAAATTTGCACAAGGGATAATTTATATATGTGAATATATTTATTGGAGCATTTTATAAAAAAATAGAAACAATTTGTATCCAAAAATAAGGAAATAAAAAATTAAATAAATTACGGTGTGGTTCACTGAAGTAGGTTTATATGAACAGATAGGAAATAATCACAAGAAATACTTTCCCATTAAAAAAGAAGTCAAAGAATAATGTGTGTGGCATGATCTGAAATTGTAAACGAAGAAATGAGAATGCTGAGGGGAAGTAGGCTATGAAGGGATACTTTTGCTTTCATTCCTTTATTTTTTATTGTTTATATTGAATGGCAACAGGCATATAATGCAAGATTACTTTTTTATTTAAAAATAATTCTAAGAAATCAATTAGAAAGTGCATGTAATGCAGGCAATATAGTATAGTGAACTAAGCATCATCTCTATATGCAGACAACATGAATTAAACTATAATTCTGCATCTATTTATTATCTGGTTAACTTTGATATTTTCCTTAATTTATCTGAATCTTTATTTTATCAACATAAAGTAGGGATAATTATCACATCTTTCATTACTCCAAGGCTTAGAGGTGATATATACAGGTGCCCAATATACAATAGGTAATAATAGCAAATCACTTTGAAGAAAAACAGCATTTCATATTTTACTGTGTGTTGTTCTGGTTTTGTTTGTTCCATTTATCTATTCCTAGATGTGAGTCCTTTAAAAGAAAAGAGAGATTTTTCTGACCTGTATTCTTAAATCTGTCTCCTCTGCCATGTTTACTTAACTTCACCTAGTAATACCTTAGAATATTGCAGATTGGGGAAATAAAATAGAATTATGCATATGTTCGAGCTAGAAAATATCTTAAAGATTAACTAGTCCAATTTCCAATTTTACTACAAATAGAAAAATAGTACAGCATAGTAATTAGTTCATTAAATTGATTAAATTTATAGAGTAGCTCAAGGTATATTATCTCATATACAGTATATATGACCCTTATATGGTACTAACTGAGGTCTGTTTGCTTAACTTATACCATTGAGCTTTATTTCCTGGTAAGGGGATGATAATTTTAGAGCATGGAATATTTAAAAGTGTGTAAGTCTGAGAACTATCACTTCCTTAACAAACTCTGAGAAGACAGAACATAGGGTGAAAGAGGGCAGAATATAAGAACATCAAAGCAAGGCACAAACTTCATCTATTTAGCTGTTCTGTAAGTTCACATGCATCATGGTAATAATGCAATACTACTCTTACAGAATAATGCTTTGTGTCTGCCTCAGTATTATGTATGTCAGACTGCTATGCAATCCCCAGTAATAAAAGTAGAGAAGGATAAAGTGGTGAAAAGACATACTCTTCATACTCTCCCTGCATTCTTATTACCCAAACTGACGGAGGGTCATTGGAATGTTATGAAACATTTTCCAGTAGTGGTATTTCAGAGTTACATTAGTATATTTTCAAGTTTTGTATATTTTGCTGCAAATAAAACTGACAACCTAGGTAAAGATCCCCCAAAATTTGGATTTTTCATATTTAAGGGCTAGAGGATTAACTGTCTATGATACAAATAGTTCTTCTCTGGGCAATGAGCACTATAGAAGTAATAGCCTAAAAATGATTTTTTTCTTATTAGGAAACATTTTCAGTCATACAAAATACACAGAAAATAATAACAATGAACTAGGTGTACCTACCTAGCTAAAAGCAAATAAACAAACAAGACATAGCAGATAGAAAATCGTGCACCTCTCTTCTTCCCAGTGGTAGTCACTGAATCTGGCATTATTTATCCCACCCATGTTGTTACACCTCATGGTGTAACAATGTGTATTATTAAACCATATAGTATTGTTTTACAAGTATCCCAACTATGCATACATTCTATTATTCTTTATATAGGCTTACACACTTCTATTTTTTGCTTAAAGTTTTGTTTTTGCAATTTATGCATGTTGCTAAAGGTCTGGTTTACTCTCTTTAATTGCCATTAATGTTCACTTGTAAGAATATGTGACAGTTTACTCATTTTTCCTATTAATGGCCACCTCTATTGGTTTCAGTTTAATTGCAAAGAATAGTAATAAATAGTCATATTTTTAGATAAGAAAAAATAGATATTTAATAGATAGATGATAGACAGACAGACAGATAGGTAGATAGATACCTTCTTCAGATCATGGGAATGAAGTATAAAATTGCTGGTCACAGGGTATATGCATCTTTAGACCTGCTAGATAGCGCCAAATTATTCTTCAAACTCATCGTATCAATTTATACTCCTACCTTCCATATATGAGATTTTCTATTGTTCTAACTTCCTCTCCTATACATAATAAGATCTGCCCTTATAACTTAAAAAAAATCTTTTTTTTTTCTTTCAGCAGTTATGCTGGCAAGATGTGGTTTATTTTTGGAATATTTAGCAAATGACATCAGGTAAATGAGACATTGAAAAATGACATTGGAGGTAACTGGTATAAAATTAAAAATAGTCACAACATCTAAAATAAAAAATCTAAACAAAAATCTAAAAATATCTAAATAAGAAAAATATGAGAAAACGTTAAACATCTACTTTGAGGTCCTTCACATAAGTAGAATTATAAACTCCATTTGCAAATTCAACCAAAGAAATCAAGGTAAAATCACTTAATGCAGGGGTGCCTAACCTCCAGGCCACAGACCACCACCACGTTCCTGGCCAGTTAGGAACCAAGCCACATAGCAGGAAGTGAGCAGTGGGCGAGTGAGCAAAGCTTCATTGGTTCCCCATCACTGGCATTACCACCTGAGTTCCACCTCCTGTTGGATCAGCAGTGGCATTAGATTCTCACAGGAGTGCAAACCCTGCTGTGAATTGCTCATGCAAGCAATCTAGGTTGTGGGCCCCTTATAAGAATCTAATGTCAGATGATCTGTCATTGTATCTCATTACCCACAGATGGGACCATCTAGCTGCAGGTAAATGAACTCAGGTCTCCCACTGATTCTCCATTATGGTGAGTTGTAAAATTATTTCATTATATATTACAATGCAATAATAGTAGAAAGAAAGTGCACAATAAATGTAATGCACTTCAATCATCCAGAAACCATCCCCCATCCACCCACACCCCAACCCCATGAAAAACTGCCTTCCATGAAACCAGTCCCTGGTGCTAAGAAGACTGGGAACGGCTGCCTGAATGCATGTGTGTGCTTTGTACATTGCACCTACTTCCATCATAGTGACATCTCTTATGATATTACATAATATAGACTAATTAAATATGGTAAAAGTAATGTATTCTTGTGCTTACTATTTAGAAGTCAGGCATTAGAACCTAGCATTTTGACATGTTTGGAGTTTTATTCTGGACACTTTTGGTTTACTAACTTTCAATAGCTTTTTTAAGGGGAATAATAAATTTCTCATTTAATTCCTGCTCTTTTGTTCACTGTTCCAAAACTTCTCTCATGGCCTATGATCTACGGAAGGTCAAGGATCCTTATTTCCTTTCACTGGACAGTCAGATATCCATACCTGCGAAGTTTCTATTGAATGTCATATGTCGTTCAAGATATTTTCACTTGGGTTTTTCACAGGCCAATATTGATTTTCTTCTCCAGCACGATGCATCTTTTCATGTAGTAATGCCTTAACCAGAGCAAAAATTCATGAAGAATTTGAATTTTTATTTGTTGAATGCTAAATTTGTAAATACTATCAAAACTTTTATACGTATTTTCTCCTCTAATATCAACTGAACAGAACTAAATGATTTTCCCTCTGAATTATATTTCATATTGCAGGTTTAGAAATTCAAATAGGGAAAGGAGTGTGTTAACCATCACAATAATTTAGAAGGAAAGGAGTGTGTTAACCTTCACAATAATTTAGAGGGAAAGGAGTTGAATAAGCAAAAGCAAGTACCCTCCAAACTCCCAAGTGTCTTCATAGAGTGTCAAGCCTTTAATTAACTTGCCACAGTTCAACCTTTGCAGGTTGATGATGATGGTATGTCAGTCAGTACAAATAGGGGAAATCACATTAACCAAGCTCACAAAACTAACACACAAAATAAGAATACGAGTTTATTGATTTCCATTTTAAAAAATGACTGCAGAGAGGACCTATCACTCAAATCCTTTGGTCAATGTATTTTCCTTGCAGGCATGCCACAGGGGAAGTCAACTTCTAAGGCTGTTTGGTGTACCTGGAAATTTATCATTAAATCAATTATAATAAGTATAGAATGTCCAAAAAGATAAAGGCACATGCTTGACCATCACAAAAATGTCATGTCAGGTTTAAGAAGAGATCATCCACAAAAGAACCCCTAATTTTCTTCTAGTAGGCCTTACAAGATGCTCCATATATCAAAGAAATTAAATTTTTAAAGTCCTTTCCATAAATAAAACTCCAAGCTTAGAAGTTTCACCAAATTGTGCCAAATATTTGAGGAAGAAATAATACCAATTCTACAAACACACTCTTCCAGAAAATCGAAGAGGAAGGACCACTTCCCAACTCATTGTATGGAGCCAGCATTATCCTGACACCCAAACTATACAAAAACATTACAAGAAAACAAAATTTTATCCTTTATAACTAGTATCCCTCATGATATATATGCAAAAGTTCTAAACAAATTTTAACACATTGAATCCCACAATTTATAAATAGTATAGTATATCCTGACCAAATTGAGTTTATCCCAGAAATACAAGTTTGGTTTATGTTCAAAGGTTAACCAATTTGTCAGGTGATAAGTGCTAAATAAACTGTGGTATATTATACAATGGAATATTATTTAGCAATAAAGAAAAATGAAGTACTGATACATACTACATGAATTAAAATTGAAAGTATTATGTTAAGTAAAAGAACTCAGTCACAGAGGACCACATATTGTAAGATTCCATTTATATGAAATGTCTAGAATGGGCAAAGCCATACAGACAGAAAGTAGATTAGTAGTTGCCTAGAGACTCAAGGAAGAGGGAAGTGGGGAGAAATAGGGAGTGACTGCCAATGGGTATAGGGTTTTGGAGTGATAAAAATGATCCATAATTGATTATAGTAATGGTTGAAGTGTACCAAGAACTATTGAATTGTATACTTTAAAACATTTCAACTGTACATTTTCAATGGATGAACTGTATAATTTTTTTTTTTTTTGAGACTGTCTCACTCTTTCTCCAGGCTGGAGTGCAGTGGCGTGATCTCGGCTCACTGCAACCTATGCCTCCCAGGTTCAAGCGATTCTCCTGCCTTAACCTCCCAAGAATCTGGGACTACAGGCATGCACCACCACACCCAGCTAATTTTTGTATTTTCAGTAGACAGGGTTTCACCATGTTGGCCAGGATGGTCTTAATCTCTTGACCTCGTGGTCTGCCTGCCTTGGCCTCCCAAAGTGCTGGGATTACAGGCGTGAGCCACCACGCCCAGCCCAAATTGTATAATTTAAAAATTCTCAGTTACACTGTTAATCATTGTAATTAACCCCAGTAAGAAACTAAAAGGAAAATCATATGATCATATGATCAGGTACACCAAATGATCACATGATCATTTCAACCAATAAAAAAAGAATTTGCCAAAATCCATTCTCAATGAAAACTTCACCGAACTAGGAAGAGAGGGAAATTTTATCACTTAATAAAGGACATCTAGGAAAAACCTAGAGTAAGCATAACACTTTATGTTTTCCCCCTATGATCACATCTGCCTCAATCATATACATCAGTAATAAGAAAGCTATGATTCAAGAGCTACAGGTTGTCTCCTTAGGATCTTGACCCAATTGGATGCAATTTTGTAATTAATTTTTAAAAGAGGCATTGAATTTCTACTTTAAAAATCTATGCTGATATTAACATTTTAGTATTGAATATTTACAACCTGCAAAAGTTTGGTAGTTTGGAATACAAAGTATTGGTGAGAAAGCAGGAGGCACAGAAACTCAAACACTGTTGGTAAGAGTATAAACTGGTACAAACGCTTTAGAAAACAATTAGGAATTATCTTATAAACTGGGTCATTCACATATCCCACGATTCAGCAAGTCTATTTGTAAGAATGTATCCTAGAGCTGTAGTGTCTAATATAGAAGCCACTAGCCACATACACCTATGTAAATTTTAATTAATTAAAATTGAGTAAAATATATGCAGTAGTAATGAGCAGACTTAGTGCCTGGATGTTGGTCTCTAATACCAATTTCCAATAAAAGGAACCAGGTCCTTTGGGGAAATGGCTGATTCTAGGGGCTAGAATAGGAAATACACAAGATAAGCCTGGAGCATCTTGCAGTGCCAGAAAGAAAGGGCTCAAAACACACACATACACACACACTCATCAGTACACACACATACACATGCATACTGATGGGAGTATGTCAAAGAGACACAGGAACCACCTGAAAGAGCTCCCAATGACCAAAGCTAGAACAATTTGGGCAATGAAGTAAGATTATAACCTAAAATATACATGTTCATGAATCCATACAATATAAGTTAATTACTGAATAAGAAAGTAAATGAGAGAGAAAAGACAAAGCTTTTGCAGAAGAATCCCAAATAATTTCCACTCCTTAAACGTAGGCTGCACATAGTGACTTTGTTCTGAAGAGGACAATATGGAAAGATGGGGCAGGGAGAAATGGTAAAGAGT
The DNA here is from genome assembly GCF_000001405.40 of Homo sapiens. NCBI lineage: Eukaryota > Metazoa > Chordata > Mammalia > Primates > Hominidae > Homo > Homo sapiens. The sequence goes on along the minus strand of NC_000007.14, from coordinate 144,982,527 downwards.
AGCTTCAGAGTGGAAAAACCTGACAAAGACAAACCTACCTCAGCCAGGTCAATGTCAACAGTGATAAGCCATGTTGACAGTATAATACTCTTGATATGATGTGATAAAATGGTACTCTACTCTTCTCTTCCTACCCAAAACCCTTATCTTCAATCTAATCATAAGAAAAACATCAGACAAATCCCAATACTGTGACATTATGCAAAATATATGACAAGTACTCAAAATTTTCAAAGTCATCAAAAACAAGGAGAGTCTGAGAAACTGTCACAGCCAGGAAGTGCCTAAGGAAACATGATGATTAATGTAACGTGGGATCCTGAATGGGATCTTGGAGCAGAAAAACAACATTAGGAAAAAATAAAGAAATATTAATATATTACAAATACAATAGTAATAAAAATATATAATGAAGCTCTAAATGACATGTATTGTCCCTCTTCCCCTCAATCTTTGCATCAAGAGAAATTAATTTCAACACCCCATAGATTGATTTTTTTTATATTAAGTGCATAAAATCCATGCTTTTTAAAGAAAGTTAAATAGAAATTCAGTTCCTAAGTTGTATTAGCCACATTGCAAGTACTCAAAAGCCCCTGTGAGTATTGGCTGCAATACTGGATAGCATAGACATAGAACACGTCCATCACTGCAGAAAGTTTGGTTACACAGTGCTGTTCTGGAGAACACATACATATGTGCCCAGTAACATAAACAAGAATGTTCATAGGAGCATTGTTCCTGTTTTTAAAATTATAAAAAAAATGCCCATCAACAGGGGAATGGATAAACTATGACATACTCATAAGGTAGAATCCTATACAACAGTAAAAGTGAATGGACTACAGGTTTATACATCAACAAGAATGAATCTTTAAAATGTTGAGTGACAGAAGCAAATTTCAAAATTCATATATATACAATGAAATCAGTTCTTAAAATTCAGAAGCTGTGAAACTGAATAATGCATGGCTTAGTGATGCATTTGTACTTGGTAAAATTATAATGAGAAGAAAGAGAATGATGATCACAAAATTCAGCTCAGACCTCCTGTAAAGAAGACATGGGCAGTATCTACTGAAAGAAATACTTGGTAAAAGTCTCTTGCTAAGATTGGGCGGTTGTAATTAGCTGAGTGTGGTGGCTCATGCCTGTAATCCCAGCTACTCGGGAGGCTAAAGCAAGAGAAACGCTTGAACCCAGGAGGCGTAGGTTGCAATGAGCCAAGATCACGCCACTGCACTCCAGCCTGGGCAACAGAGCAAGACCTTGTCTCAAAAAAAAAAAAAAAAGATTGGATGGTTGCTCCGGATAAGTTTATTTTATTATTATTATGTCTCACAATTTACATTTCTATTACATAAGATATTTCAAATACATTATCTCTTTGTCCAAGCTTTATCCAACTTACCATTTTTTCCCCCTGTTAGGGATTTCTCATTCCCATTACCAAGCATTCTTCCACTTCAGCAGTTGAAGCTGAAACTTATTGGCCATCATGAATTTTGCTATTTGTTTTCTGACCCCTTGTCTTGGTTCATTTGTGTTGCTATAAAGAAATACCTGAGGCTGGGTAATTTATAAAGAAAAGATATTTATCTGGCTCACAGTTCTATAGGCTGTACAAGAAACATGGTGTCAGCATCTGCTCAGCTTCTGGTGAGGCCTCAAGCTGCTTCCACTCACATTGAAAGGTGAAGGGGAGCTGCATGTACAGAAATCACATGATGAGAGAGGAGGCAAGAGAGAGAAGGCAAGGGTGCCAGGCTCTTTTAACAAGCAACTCTTGCAGGGAGCAATAGAGTGACACTCACTCACTATGAGGAGAATGGCACCAAGCCATTCATGAGAAATCCACCCCCATGGGCCAGACACCACCCACCAGGCTCCACCTCCACCCCTGGGGATCAAATTTCAACATGAGACTGGAAGGGGCCAAACAAACCATATACAAACCACAGCACCCCTTAAACATTGGCTGTTGTGCTTTCAAATTTGCAGTACTCTATTTTAGTCTGGATTCATAGCCTAATTTGGCACTTCAGAACTCAAAATGAATATTAATATATGCTTCTCAATTCAGAGGATATTATCCTGCAAGTCAAACGAATGAGGCCAATTCAGACAATCTATTGTTTAATCTTGTGTCATACAAATATTGACTCTTCTTATAATAGAGCATCATTACCTAGAAGAATCAACAGCATTTAAAATGCACAAAATACTTCAGTACTCTCTTGGTAGGCTTTATTAATATTCTTCTACAAAATAGTGTTGATACTATTCCATTCATATTTTAAAAATCCTTTTCTTGGTTTACTTAACTAAATCTCTACTCAGTTTTCTAATTTTTTATCAAATACTGATTTCCTTTTATAGCCTGCTAGCGTTTCAAAAATAGTAGCCAGGTGGGAAAGCCTATTTAAAGTTTTTAGTTATTTCCCATGCTGATTTTATGAATTACTGTATTTTTCATACCCATATTTTAAAACAAATTATGTATTTAGCCACAACAGATGGATATTCTGGTTATTTTTAATAATGCATCACTTTTTAAATTATTTAACCTATTTTATTTTTAATTATGTTTAAAAGTGCTCTGCTATTCAGAAATTACATATAAAGAAAAATCAAGTTAATAGAAAAATTAGTCCTTCTCAGTTAGCAAAGCATTTCTAATACATGTAAATTAAAGGAGAGAAAACTCTATAGTCCAAAGGTGTAACTGTAGTTTTTCATTATGATCATTGTTTTGTCTTTTTATGTATACACTGAAGTATATGCTGATTCCTTAGTAAAAAAAATAAAAATGGTAACAATCTATTTCAAAACAGAATGAAATCATTTGGCCAATAAATTATAGTATAATCAATATTCAGTTTTAAACAGATTAGGGTTAGGGACCCTAACACTGGCCTCACTTCCGCTTTCAAAATATAATACCAAATTAAGAAAATAAAAAGGATGAAAACTCACAATATTGTAAACAAGAAGTGAAAGCTTACTAAATCTGTAATAAATCTTCATCGATGACAAGGACAACAGGACTGTGAGCCACCTGTGCTATGACACCACCCACCTGGAAATAAGTAGAAATACTCCTTTTCATCCTTCCTCTTTGTCTATGCCTTAAAAAATAAACCAGAAAATTGCTCCAAACCTCACACATTCCCTTATCCATCCAATACCAGTTCCCTATATCCAGTTAGAAACTCCAAATTTCAATAAACAGCACATGAGGGAATTGGCAATGGCAGGTGGAAAATTGGAAACTGAAATTTCTACCAGGTGGGTCAGGAGTAGACAATGATGGAAACAAGAAGAGCCTTATCAGCAGTGTTTACTGTGGACGGAACTTTCCATTCTCCCATTTGTTTCTATCGTTAAGGAGCTAGGTATAAGGAGCTAGGGTAGAGGAGTTCACACTGGATAACAGTGAATAAACACCTAGTAAGTAGACTGCCAATCCAGCTCCCTCCTGCCTACCCCTCAGCCCCTGCCTTGCCCCACCACCATATGGCACACACTTCTCGGAGAACCATTTTTCTCCCCTCCATGTGGGTAATGATTATTTTGATACCATGTGACTGCACTGCATGGGAAACAGCTGACTGCACCATGGGAGAAAAATAACTAAGCCAATAAACTCCTTTCCTAGGTAATTTAGATTTGAAAAGAAGATTTCAGATCAGTCAGGTTAGCCGCACCACAGAAGACACATTATTTGAGAGCTAATGATGGTCATGGTTCAGACCACACCAGCTGGAATAGCAGGAGAGTTGAATGAATTAGAGAAGACTGGCCAGAAACAAGAAGAGGAGGGTGGGAGACAGGAAGAGAATGGCAGGAAGCAAACACAAGGCAAAGAAGAGACAAAGAAAGTGACCAATGGTTTCTATTGCTCATCAGTTTCCAAGATATACTTTTGCATCTTCATCTTAAACTTGGTTTTTGCTTTTACCGAAGCTTCCTAGGAGAATTTCTGCTACTTAAAGCCAATATAGTTCTAGAAAATATGTGGAGCTCATTATACAGAGAGAATTTCAGTCTGAGCTGAACACATCAACTTGCCAAGCTGCTAAAAATATGCAAAGGAGCTTTAACCTACTGCCAAATGGACAGAGATTAAAGCCAAGGACAATATATATACCCTGGTGGTTGACAACTGCCAGATGTGAATAGAGCTCTTACCATTTAACTATAAGTAAACAAGGCCAGGCACAGTGGCTCACGCCTGTAATCCCAGCACTTTGGGAGGCCGAGGCAGGCGGATCATGAGGTCAAGAGACTGAGACCATCCTGGCTAACACAGTGAAACCCCATCTCTACTAAAAGTACAAAAAAATTAGCCAGGTATGGTGGCACGCGCCTGTAGTCCCAGCTACTTGGGAGGCTGAGGCAGGAGAATCCGGGAACCCAGGAGGCAGAGGTTGCAGTGAGCCAAGATCACACCACTGCACTCCAGCCTGGGGACACAGCGAGACTCCATCCCCCCCAGAAAATAAATATATAAATATAAATATATACGTAAACAGGAATTCAGAATACTGCAGGACAAGGAAAAGAAAACATCTTGTAGAAGGCTTAGACAAAGAGAAGACTTCTAAGTTGTAAAGTAGAAGAATCCTCAGAAAGATATTTTTAAAAAATTGCTGTGAAACTTTGGCAGGAAGTCATATCAACTTCCACAGTTTTAAATTTTTGAAAAAGAGACAATAAGAATTTTAAAGCAGAGAGGTGCATAAGAACTGTAAAGCATTTAAAATATATTTGCAAAATTAAATTAGCATCACAGTTAATAAACAACAAAAATGCAAATGAGATCAGTAACATGAAAAACAAATTTGAGATTCTCTATATTTCCCTCCCCGCAGTTACCACGTTCACAGGTCCTGGTGGCCTACCTGGTGGTGTGACCCAAAATATCATTTCTGAAGGATCTGATCTCCTGGTTTTCACACGGTTCTTTCTTCAGAGTTGCTGCATAGGTCCATGTAGACTTATGTTGAGATAAGAGAGTACCAAGATGTGCTCAGAGATTACTTGCTTTCTATACATTCCTCCTAACCATCAATGTCTGAAAGTTTCGCTACCTCCTTCTGCTGATCAGTGTCAATTATTCTACCAAATGATGAGTCTCTTCTTACCTGTGAGACCCTGAACACAAGATGTCCAAAGTGTTCCAGTTGAATGAAACTCTTGCTATGTCTCCTTGTAAGAGTCCTCTCACTTTAGGCAAGGAACTCTAGCAATGCAATGCCCAGAATTATAGGGATGAGAAGTACAATGTCCTCCAGTATGTCAGAGATGATGGCAAGAGGAACCCTTCTGCTACCCACCTTGGTACCTGGGCCCATATATTCTTCCTATTATTGGCAGAGCATCACATTTAGGTCTCTGTTTAAATGTATAGTGTGCATTCTGAGTATGGTGCTTCTTCATCCTTTCGGATTATTGCCTTCAAGCTGGAGCTTCACCTATGTCTTGAGAAGGCCATTGCTAGAAGGCCTGTTAGAGCAACAGGCCAGTTACTTCTTGATACTGTAAGTATATGATACAACCAGTAAATCCAGCGGTTGTAGGCCCATTCTCACGCCTCCTTTGCTGTAAGTGGATCGCACCTGGGATGATTAGTAGGATTCCACACTTGTGGATCAAACATTCTAAAAGCTCCAGGACGACAGTGCTAGCTGAAGCACTAAGGGCCAGAAAGGCAAATTCTTACCAAGAATACACAAGCGTCTCTTTGGACAAATCTCTATCCCTTCCAAGATGGAGTCTCCTTGCCACCAAATCAGATTCCTCAAAAAATAGTGCCATCTAGAGGGCTCAAAGTTGGTCTTTGTTGGTATCAGGTTAGACATTCAGAGGCACCAGTGTCCAGATAGCCTTTGGCAAATGGGGACTCTGTCGTCAAGCCCATGCACAGTGTTCATCTCTGACACAATGGCCACTCCAGCAATGTGTTTATTGGGCCAGATCCAGGAAGGCTGGTGACAAAGGCTGGATAACACTGACTGGCCATGCCATTTTGTCTCCTTGGTGTTCCATGACCCATTCACAGTGAATGCCTCCTGGTAGCATCAATGTGTGATAGATTTTCCCTCTCCACTATCTTCAAAGCCATCTTTGAGTGTGGCTATAATGTAGCCGCTATCCATTTTCAGCTTCCACACACATACCAAGCAGACTCATTCATAAACAAAACTTAGACTGCCCCCTCTTTGTTTAGCCGGTCATACCAGACCCACCACATGACCACTGTAGTAAGTGAAAGGTCTGGTGCTGTACTGTCGTGGGTATCTGAGTTACCTGCTTATGCATCTTACTCATGTCCTCTGGCCCTTCCTGGATTTGGTTCTAGGTGCACCATTTCCATCTTGTGATCCAGTGCTGCTGACTCATCTGACTTCTTGACTCTGCAGTTCCTACTTCACTTAGCCCATGATAGGTAGTTCAAGATGCATCGTCACTTGGTGACTCACGCTGAAGGGTTCAGTCTCTACCAGGATCCCTACATATGAGGAACTGTTTCTAAAATGACTTATAATTCTCTGCTGCAATTGCCATGGTCTGGCTTCAAATTCCAGGGGCCTGTGTTGTGCTTTTCTCATTGGGAATTGCCGTGAAATCTACACAGAATCTTTTATCACCACTAGTACCAATATTATAGGGTCAATTGGATTATATGACCCAAATCCAAAGACAGTCTGAATCTTCTGCAGAGCCACTCAATACTGACAGCCTTCCATATCACTGAGTATATGGGAAGGAGCAATATTCCTACTATTTTTGTGTCCTTTGGCAAGAGTACACCTCCTCGCCTGAGGTCCTTGATGAGGTATTAAATCCATGTCCCAGAAAAAGAACTACCAAGCAGATGAATTTTGCTAATCTAGTCTTATGTTCTGCCCCCCTTTAATCAAGCATTTGGAGCTGAGAGACAAAACCTTGATAACTGGTGTAGAGATCTAATGATATGCTTTCAAGGAAGTCTATTGAAGTCATTTATCCCCCAAGCATCTCTGTATCCTCAAGAGCATCTCTCACAGAGTGTGCTTTCTACTTGTGATCCTATAGTGTAAAGATCCTTAAATATAGGTAATTCTGAAATTTCTAGACCCAGCCTTGCCCAAGTCAAACCCATAGCACATGCCCCGCTTCACCTCCTCTCCCATTCTAGTACTTTCCTCCCACCCCATCCTGCTTCTCATGGGAAGGCAGTCAGACAGAAGGCAGTATAGCATATTGCAGACAGCAGCTGAATTCAAAAAAGTCTTCACCAATGGGGTTACATTTGAGGTTGCCCTAGATGAATGAAATGAATTTCTGTACCCAGAGAATGGAGGAGTGTAGGAGCAGGCAGAGGGGGAAAAAAGAAAAAAACAAACCAGCAAAGGCACAGAAGGGTAATGAGATACAGCAGTCTGAGGAAGAGCAAGTGGTCCAGTGTGATGCAACAGGCCTGATAATTCTCCAGTTATGTGGACGACTTTCGTTGTTGTTTTGCCTTGTGTCTTAAATCTCACAGCCATTTCAAGAAGCAGAAAGTGAGGGCCATAGGATAACTGAATTGTTTTATATATAGACTCAAAAATCTGCTTTAAAAAAAAAAGGTGGGGAGGGGATATTTATTCCCCCACTCTTACATATACCGTTGAAGACTTTCTTACATGACATTCATCCAGTTTTGCAGTAGGATCTCATTGTGAGCTCACATCAAATTTATTAATAACCATCACCTTAGCACCTTTTTTTCCACTCACATTAATGACTTCTAACCTACATTTTCTGGCTTATATTATTTTTTTTCCCCTTCAGATTTGGTCTTTCCCTAGTGGATTGCTTTCCATTTATCTTGATTAAACCTCACTCTATTGATTTCTCTTCTTTCTCTAACTTCTCAGAAACCTGCTGTATATTAATTCAGCTGTGAAATTAGCGATCCCACCTGGTGCTGAATAACATTTAGGGAAGTTTTAAAATCCAACATCATTAAATAACCTCCGTTTCAAACTTTGGGTACTATATTTAATTCCGATAGAATGAGAAAATATGTTCACGCATATTTCACCTTAGGATGACAAATTCTTTGTTTTCAAATAATTTGTTTTTATTTTATTGGAGAATATTATAACATTTAAGAGTCCTTGAATAAAAAGTCAAGCTTTAATGTATACTTTCCTTTATAATAGGGCAGAACAAAGAGGAAAGTTCATGAAATGTTCATACCCTACAATCAAGGTATACTTACTATTTGAGATGTATAACAAGCAGAATAAAAATCATGTATAATTACTTCTTATTTTGCCATCTACCAAATAATATTGAATACTCATTGTATCTCTCGGAATTAACATTAAGTAATTTATTCAATGTGATACAGCAAGATGGGATTTGAACACAGATATTTTTTACACTTTTCCTGTTAGTATAGTATGATGCACTTTTAGTTCTTTCATCAAACTCAATAACTATTTAGGGGTATTCTTGCTTTCCAGTCACACTTCAGGATGTTAGGGATCCAGTGATGAACAAAGAAGCCGCCTGCTTCTTAGCATCGGTGAAGTGTGATTCACTTTTAGTTCTTTCATTAAACTCAATAACTGTTTAGGGGGAGTCTTTCTTTCCATCCACACTTCAGGATGTTAGGGATCCAGTGACAAAGAAGCCTCCTGCTCTTCCCATCTGTGACGAAGATACATTGCTATCCTAGGTTCATTCATGTTCTTTTTCTTACTGCACAGAAACATGAACTCCTTCCACTGAGCTTCCCTCCACCTAAAAATGTATCTGTATGCTTCCCCAATGCTCACTTCTCTCCATTTCACCTGAGAGGACAAAGTGTCCATCCACTTCTCTCAGAAGAGGCAGCTGCTGAAGCTGTGGCTTGGCAGTTGCAACTCCAACATGTCCGGAAATGTTTTCCATCCATAATGGCAAGTCTCTCTCTCTCTCTCTCTCATCTTCGGTCTCTTTCTGCTAAGTTGTTCCCTTTGGCCAAAAAGGAAACTTCAATCTCCCCAGTTTTTGAAATTGGTTTTGTGTCTTTCTCAAACTGCTGCCTTCACTCTTTCTCCTCAACAATAGATTAAACCGATTTTAGACTCATTTTTATTATTTTCGGGCTTCCCATTCACTCTTCAAATCAGCACAACTTTCCCCTCTCCGTCACTCCACTTGAAGGTGAAGTTCCCTCACTCCCCAAGAGGGAGAATTCTGAGGATCATATTCTGCACATCTTCCCAGGTTCCCTTGAGTTTTGCTGTGGTCATTAGGAAGCAAGGCACCACTAGCCCCATTGCCCCCACCTCGCCCCTCTCCCACTTCCCTTCCAGCATTTTCTGTGCTTCATCCACTCATGTCCTTATCTCAGGGTTAGCATCTGAGAGAATCCAAACTAAGAATAGAGATGTTCTCATATCAAGTCCTGTCAATTCTAATTCTTTACTTTCCAAATCATCTTTTCTCTCATTTTCTATGTAATTGTTTTATTTTAAGCATTCATCTTCTGGCTCCTGTATTAACTTGTCTTTCTGCCCCACCACCTCCTCCCTCTAATTCATCCCCCACGGACTTGGAGTATATATTTTTTTTCTATAAACCTTGTCATGTCACTCCTCTCCTTAAAAACCTTTGATATGTCCCCTACTGCCCACAGAACCAAGTTTAACATCATTGATGTAATACTGGGCCCTTTCCAAACCTATGCAAGCCCTGTATCCTGCCATTCTCCTCATTTTCCAGCTCTATCAAGTTAACAATACTGTCTCCAAACACACACCCTTTACTTTCCTAACTCCGCCTTTGCACATTGTTTCTTCTTCATGAAGTGCCCTTCCCTCTCTGCATCCCCTTCACCAGAAGACTGTATTCATTCTTCAAGACTCCACTTGCATTCATTGTCTCTAGAAAACATTTCTTAGTGTCCCTAAACATGGCTATATGTTGCACGTAATGATCCACTGGGACCTTCTAACATACCACTTAGGTTTTTTTGAAATTTTTGTATATCCATCTCCTTCCCTGGACTATAGGTTTTCCCAAGTCAAAGCCACATCTTACTGTTTGTGACAGTTACTTTTAGGTGTCAACTGGGTTAAGAAATACCTAGAAAGCTGGTAAAAGATTATTTGGGGGGTGTCTCTGTGAGGGTATTTCCAGAGGAGATTGACGTGTGAGTCTGAGTGGACTGAGTGGAGAAGATACACCTGCATGTGGGTGGGCACCACACAATTGGCTGGAAGCTTGGATAGTACAATAATAGAGGAAAGGTGAATGGGTCTCTCTCGTCCCCCTGGAACTGGCACGCTCTCCTCCTCCTGCCCTTGGACATCAGAACTCCCTGTTCTCCAGCCTTTGGACTCCAAGACTTATACCAGTGGTGCCCACCTCAACCCCTGGCTCTCAAGCCTTTAGACTTAGACTAGACGTTACACTACCAGCTTTCCGGATTCTGAGGCTTTTCGAATTGAACTGAACCACCCTACTGGCAGTCCAGGATATCCAATTTGCAGGTGGCCTGTCATGGGACTTCTCAGCCTCTGTAATCATGGAGACAGTGCTTCTAATAAATCCCCTCTTGTACATATTTTACATGTATATAGACAAACATATATATGTATTCTATTTATATGTATACACACATATATAAATAGAACACATATAGAATACAATAGAATATGTTCATATATACATATATATACACACACATAAATAGAATACATATATGTGTTTCCGTATATGTAAAATAATACAAATATATAGAATACTTATGTGGGCATGTATATATATAAATGCATATAAGTAGAATACATATAGAATACACTTATACATATATACACATATATGTATTCTATTTATAGAATATAAATGTATATATATGTATATATACACACACAGATATGTACTCACAGAAACACACACACACACACACACACACACACACACACAGGTACACCCTATTGGTTCTATCTCTCTGGAGAACCCTGACTAATACACTGATCTTGTTTCTGATTACTGGCAACGATGTCTATCAATAAGTATTTGGACAAATGCATGAATTAATTAACATGAAAGGAAACAAGCAAGTGGGATTATCCTGGGCTTTTTGTTGTCTTCTCTCCTCCATCCTCCTCCTCCATCACCACCACCATGATATAACTAAAATTACTAAAGCACGTTTAATTTTAAAGCAAGCCTCAAATGCAGTAGGATTTTTGAAACAAGAAGGCCATTCCAGCTCTAAAAACATCTCTCAGACTGGTTCTCCAACTAATCTTTTACTAGAACTCAAATCTTATATTTGAATATTAAAAATAAAAGGCTAAACTTCAAATGACTTTGGAATTAACACATGTATATAAATTAGTTTTATTGCTAAAGTAAATTACATCAAATTCTGCCTGTTTTGATGTGGAGAGAGGATTAAAAATCAAGAAGGTAAAGAGTCTCTGAAGAGGTAGGGTTATAAATGCCCCAAATCCATTCCTTGATCTTGAGACAAATAAAATGTATGCACAAAAGAAGTTTATATTCCATATTTCCAAGCATGTTCTACTAAGTTTCAGATATATTCATATTTCTTTTACTACCAAAATGCTTATCAATATTCTATTTTCTTAGGACCCTGCTCTGCACTTCATAGGGTAATACTGAATAAACTTGGGTAGTCAGATCAGCTAAGCTGGTAGTTCTCAAATTTGTCCAATTACGTGAGGTATTTTTGTTTGTTTTTTTAACAGAATTTATCAACTGCTCTTCACATCTATTAGGTTTGAAACTCCAAGGATGGAGCCTAAAAATCTGAATTTTAAAATCTTCCCAGGTGACTTTGATGCTCATCCAGCTTTGAAAATCCTTAGGTTGACAAATATATTACCTCTGCTGTAATATTTCATTTAACTTAATAAGTATTAACCGAGTGTTGATTATATGCATGACATAGAGAATATGTTTAACATTTCACAGTCTATATGGGGGTTTTTCCCCCCATTGTTTTCTCTAATCCCAATTGAACATTCATTTTCTCTAGGGAGAGTTGTTATGGGTTAACCGATTGAGGGAGCCAAAATAAGTCTCCGTATAACATGAAAATGATTTCCAAGGATGTGCTATTTAATACCTTTACCATCCTCCTTTCCTCAACTATAAGGTTTCTGTCATAAGGGTGAGGAAGGGAAAGTGACAACACCCTAAATATTTAAATATTCAAGAGAAAAGAGCTTAGAAAAGCACAAGAGCCCAAAGTCCTCTCCCTGTTCTCAACAACCCCCATCCCAACAAACAGGCAAACTTCTGTAGTGTTAAGGATCAGTAGAAAAGATATGGCACCATGGCCAGAGACAGCCTGCAGAGTTTCCCTTGACCTAGAGAACAGTAAAAAAAAGTATTCAAATTTCCCCAAGTCTTACAGAGGATCAAGGAAGTATCAGACATGGAGTCACACCTGAGAATATCCTAAACTCTGAATGACACGGCTATAACCCACGTGGTCTGGTGACACAGGCCAGCCTGAACAGATAATAAACAAGCACCACACTCATCAACCCTCCAAGATTAATGGGTAACCTCACGAATGGGGATTACCCAAAATTAGGTACAACTTGAATTGACTGAGGTCAAACTTCTACCAAACAGAAAGAAGAAAAAATGAAGTAACTTCAATTCATAGGAAATGGAAACAAGTGATATCTATTGGAAAACTAACTCTGTGGTCTAATATTTATGCCAGTACTTTAACATTTACTTAAAGTTGTAGGTGAGTCCAAACACAGAGCAAATTGTTTTGTTTGTTTGTTGTTGTTGTTGCTCTGAGTCTCGCTTTGTCGCCAGGCTGGAGTGCAGTGGTATGATTTCGGCTCACTGCAACCACCGCCTTCCAGGTTCAAGAGATTCTCCCACCTCAGCCTCCTGAGTAGCTGGGATTACAGGCGTGTGCCACCACACCCAGCTAATTTTTGTATTTTTAGTACAGACAGGGTTTCATCATGTTGGCCAGGATGGTCTCGATCTCCTGACCTCGTGATCTGCCCACCTCGACATCCCAAGTGCTAGGATTACAGGTGTGAGCCACCACACCTGGCCACAAATTGTTTTAAATGTCAATTCTTCCTTTAAAGGAGCCACTGGAAGGATGCAGTAGAAGGAAAACAAGCTTTAAAGTCAGACAAATTCAAGGTAAATTCTGAGTATCTCACCGAGAGCTAGGTGTTTATATTCCCAAAGGCTCACTTTTTTCTCCTGTGAAAGCGTGTTTTAGAATTCAGTGAAGGACAGAAGTTAAGAGCTGTATACATATTATAAGCTCAATAAATGCTAGTTTTGGCTATTAAAGAGTCAAAAGATAGCAGATACTGGCGAGGTTGCGGAGGAAAAGGAACACTTATACACTGTTGGTGGAAGTGTAAATTAGTTCAACCATTGTGGAAGGCAGTGTGTGGCGATTCCTCAAAGAGCTAAAAGCAGCTCTACCATTCAGCCCAGCAATCACATTACTAGGCACATATCCAGAGGAATATAAATCATTCTATCATAAAGACACATGCAAGCAAATGTTCACTGCAGCACTACTCACAATAGCAAAGACATGGAATCAATGACAGGCTGGATAAAGAAAATGTGATACATATACCCTATATGTATACTCTTCAGCCACAAAAAACAATGAGATTATGTCTTTTGTGGGAACACGGTCAGAGCTGGAGGCTACTATCTTTAACAAACTAACGCAGGAACAGAAAACCAAGTACTGCATGTTCTCACTTATAAGTGGGAGCTAAATTATGAGAACTCATGACCACAAAGAAGGAAACAAACACTGGGGTCTACTTAAGGGCTGAGGGTGGGAGAAGAGAGAGTAGCAGGCAAGATAACTATTGGTTACTGGGCTTAATACCTGGGTGATGAAATAATCGTACAACAAACCTGCATGACATGAGTTTACCTAGGTAACAAACCTTCACGTGTACCCCTGAATCTAAAAGTTTAAAAATACATAGATAAAACAAAGTAAATGCTAGCTCTTTTATTTCTTCAGAGTTTTAAAATCTTAAATTAGAGGCCATATTTATACAAAAGAAAGTATAATCATGCCAAGGTATGATAACTCAATATTATAATTTCTTGTAAAGCATGACTGTGGATTTCCCGTCACTGCTTAAAACCTAATGCATGTGGGGCTTAAAACCTAGATGATGGGTTGATAGGTGCAGCAAACCACCACGGCACATGCATACCTGTGTAACAAACCTGCACGTTCTGCACATATATCTGGAACTTAAAGTAAAATAAAAATTTTTTTAAAAAGCTGTGGGAAGAAGGTGATGTTCTTCTGAACATGTGGGTAACAATTCCTTCCCTCCCACCAAATATACCAATAAAGCAGATGCTGGTTTTACCTGCTCCTAAATTTCTTAGATGTTTGAATCAGAGTTTAACCTAAATCACTCTGGTTGCAATACGTACACAGAGCTGTAAGCTCAGGGTATTGTTTTGATTACAATAGCAGAGGGAAGATTTTTATTTTTGCTCAGAGTGGTAAGCCTTTGTGTAACTAAATTTGAATTGTAAAATCCATTTCAAATGCACCCTCTTTAAGCACTGGTCTCTGCAGATGGAGGAAGTAAAATGAGTTTCCTAATTTACAGTCAGTGTTATGATGCACAAGGTAACCATAGCTTTCAGGTAAGGAAAGTGGGGACCTGACACAGCAATTTAGAATTTTTATAGTTAGTATCATTTTCTTGTTAATGCGCCCATTGACAATCATAATATTGGGCCATAAAAGTTGGTGTTAACTTTACTTTGCCATTCTCAAATTTTCACCTTACACTTTTTCTCATTCAAACAATCATTGCCTGTTATAGCTGAAGAGGATTTTAAAGATCACCAAATCCAGGAATAGAAAAGTGGCAGTCTCTCGGCAGAATTCTATCTATGGAGATGGTTTTATTTTCCCCAACAAAATGTTTCTTTTTATTTTCTTAATTCTTCTCTTTCTTCCTTTTTTACTTTTTTCTTTCTATATATCAAGATACGACTTAGCTACAGTGAAGTGTCCACATCTTAAGTGAACTTTTATATATGTATATTCTAATATAACTACACCCCAATCAAGATACAGAAAATTCTCACAAAGCTTCTTATACCACTCTGTGTGTGGGGAGGTGGGGTGTGCATGTGTGTGTGTGTGTGTGTGTGTGTGTGTGTGTGTGTGTGTGTGTTTGATGGGGTGTTTTAATTTTCTTTAAATATGTTATCTTCAGAAATAACAAATTTATGATCAAAAATAGAAATAAGATTTACATGGTGTTGCAATGTTGAATAAAAATTATTGTATAAAATGTTCTAAAAAATTGTAATGGATAAAAAAATAAAGTTCTTTTTCTAACTTTTATTTTAGATTTAGGGGGTATATGTGCAGGTTTGTTACCTGAGTAAATTGCGTATTGTGGGGGGTTTGACATACAGATTATTTCATCACCCAGGTAATGAGCATAATACCTGATAGGTATTTTCTGATTCTCACCCTCCTCCCACCCTTCACCCTCAAGTAGGCCTCAGTGTCTATTGTTCTTGTCTTTGTGTTCATGTGTACCTAATGTTTAGTTCCCACTTACAAGAGAGAACACACAACATTTGGTCTTCTGTTCCTGCATTAATTGACTAAGAGTAATGGCTTCCAGCTCCATCCATGTTGCTGCAAAGGACATAATCTCATTCTTTTCCACGGCTGCATATATGCCACGTTTCCATGGTGTATACATACCACATTTTCTTTATCCAGTCCACCACTGATGGATATCTGGGTTGATTCCATGTCTTTGGTGTTGTGAGTAGTGCTGTGATGAACATATACGTGCATGTGAATATATGGTCCCTTATACCACTCTTACGTAACCAAAATAACCCAAAATGACTTCTATTCTGACAACTATCACCCCAGAATAATTTTGATTATTTTTAAATTTTGCACAGATGGAATAATATATAGCCTTTCGTGCCTGAATAAAGCTGCTCTGAGAAGTTTTTTTATATGTTTTTTGGTGGACATAAACATTGATTTCTGATGTGTTTCTACACAGGAGTTAAATTGTGAGCTCTTAAGTAATAGTTTAAAATTATACTTTTAACTGCCAACCAGTTTTCCAAAACAACTGAACTAATGTATATACTCCCCAGCAATATATGAATTCTAGTTACTCTACATCTTCACCAATACCTAGTACAATGTTTTCAATCAATTTTCATTTGAATGTGTTTAGGGTATGTGCACACCCTTCACAGTCTCTATAGCTCCTCATTGTTTTATACTTAGCCATTTCAAGTTCTTGTTTTAACCCCACGGCCCTCGAAGGCGTTTGAGTTTACCAACTACTCATCTAATCCACTTTCTCATTTATCATTTTCAGAAAACTAGTCCCAGGAAGTTTAACTGGCTAGCCCAACATCACATAACTCATGACAAGTAGAGAAGCAGTGCTCAGACTGAATTTCTCGACCAGCCTTCTTTCCACTGCATGGCACTTCCACTCACTAAGACTCTGCCTCCATTCCAGCTCTTATCTCTATTTGCTAAAGTTCCCTTTAAGTAACTTTATGAAATGCACCCATCAGTGATGTGCCTTATTTGACACCATAGTAGTTGTCTTATATCACACTTCTGCCAAGTCTTTACTGGAACAATAAATGGAAAGCATAAACTCAAATATGTGTTGCAAAGGAGGTAGCATCCAGGTGGAAAGACTGGAATAAGCATCAGCTGACCCCCTCCAGTGTTCACACTCTTATTCAAGAAGGAAGGAGCCAGGTGATAGTGGAACAGGTCGTCCTCATCCTGCTTCAAAGGATTGTGTTACCAGATTCACAAAATCTTCATAGAAAAGTGTACCGATTATCTGGTAGGTTATTTCTCCCTCAACCTCCATTTTCTTTATATGGGATAAACACCTGCTTAAAAGCAGAGGAGCATACAGGAAGTGACATCAGGGAATATGGTATTATTTGAATTAGGCAAAGGCTATTAAGGAGAGTAGAAAAGTAGCTAAAGACACTAAGTCTCTTGACTGTTCCCTCAGTTTCCCCGTATATAAAATGGGAAGTTAGCTAAATTATTTTTAAGATCCCCTCTCGCTTGGTAGTTCTGTGAATGGATTAGCCATAAATATAATTTATATGATAGAGGGAAAACATAAAACAAGCCCAGAATTTACTTATAAATATCTGGTTTGAGAAACAAACTTAATTATATAAAATGGACACACATGTTATGTGATAAACTGGCATTTCTGCTAATTGGTCGACATGAAATTGATCTTATTATTATTTCATAATAAATTGTCCACCTTCTCCCTTCTCACCTGTCTTCCAAAGGAATTTGATTAAACAAACTTATGTTTAGTATTTCATAAAGAAATACTGGGTTTTTTTCCTATAGAGTTACACTGTATCAAAGTGATATATTCCTTACCGGCTTATCTGAGAAATATGGGATCAATTATTATGCTATACCAGAGCAAAAATCTGAAAGTAATACATCCATCTCAAATAAATAATATAAAATTGTATTTATAGAGTCTAAAATAAAATTAACATTTGTCATCTTTTCACCAAATGTTCTGAAGCATATTTCTTTTTCCAAAATGATCTCGAACAATAGAATAAAAATGTAAGAACTTTTGGGATTTCTTATACCTAAAAGCAAACAAGGCCTGTAAAAAAAAATTGTGGGGGTCTAGATTAAAATTACCAGTGAGTGTTTTGATTTGTTTTGATAAATTGGGAATTAAGAGACAAGACATTCAGTACTTTACTTAGGAATCACCTTTTCCCCTTGTCATATGAGGATTCATGTTTTCTTTAATTAGAAATTGATCAGAAGCCTAATAAAGCTTGATGAGTGACAGCACTAAAAGTCCCTTTCCCAAAAGCTGAGTTCCATCTACTCACAAATTTTCTCCCCTTGGACTCGCTCCACGCCTCCAACCCACGTCTGAACAGAGATGGGGGGAAACTCAAATTAATTGTCTTTATATGGTTTTTCACTAAATGTTTCATTGCCACGAGCAGTTCTGATGAGTAAGTCAAAGTAACTGAAGAAGTATAAATAATCTTCGTGCAGAGTAAAATTAATAAATTTAAAGATATACATGGGGAAGTTTCTAGAGATTTATAGAGGTGGAAGAACCTAGGCTTAGCAGATAGAAATAATTTAGTTTATGCCAACAGGACCTGTGGTTTATAATTCACTCAGACCAAAATCCTCAACCCTCCCTTTTGGGACAAACGTATGCCTAAAGAGCCAAAAAATGTGGATAGTGAGAGTTAATGAAACAGTATGAAAATCAGTAGGGTGAGGAAAGGCCGCTGAAGAGAGTTCACAGCTTAATAACTGTAGATGACAGTGTAGGTGATGGCACAGTGTCACATCCTCCTTATGATCAGGCTCGGGATTTATTGTGTATCTATTTTGATGGAGATATAAATATATATGAATATATATTAATCTCTGGAGCTATAGGTAAATCTCCCTTGGTGATGGGTAAACAGGAGATCCTACTACTTTCTACCATGGAAACAAAAATCCCACGGAAAAACAGATCAAATAAAAAATAGCAAGTAGGCAGAGGACAATTAAAGTGAAAACAAGATACAGAGAAGTACCTGCCTGGACCGTTTTGCTTGGGTTAAGTAAAGGGTGCACTCAGCATCAGAGTCACCACCAGGGTTTAGGGTAGGGCTGCTACATGAGCAAAAGTAGAACAGAGACAGCAAACTAGGGTCATGACTGGGCATGAAAGCAAGCAGTCAGAGACACACAGGATAGAGTGTGGCCCCAGCGGTGTCTGGCTGAGCTGGTGAAGATGTGCTTAGCTGGATCTGAGGGATCACGGTCAAAGAAGTAACAACAGTGAAAGCTAAAACAATGTTTCAAAGCTAGAAGAAAAAATAATCTGAGATGACATCAGAATTCTGTCTTTTGCAAGGATTTCCGTTGTTCCCACAATTCAATGTGGTAGTTTATCTGGGGAAATGACAAACATCCCCTTGGCAACTCTGTCCTAGATCGATCTTTCTTACTAGAAGAATTCTGGGCCCAAGGAGTTTTATTCTCATCTAACCAAACTTTCTCTAGGCCTATGCCATATAACGGTCATCACTAGCCAGTCTGCAGCCATACCCACCTAATCAGTGGAGAAAAGAAGTCTTGAGTCTCCTAAAACTTTCATTGTTAGCTTCCTCCCCAAAATAAGAGTTTTAGTAGCTGAACTTTTACCTGAGGTTCTGACATACATCAGAAAAACATGGAGAGTCACAGAAGCTTGCTAACAGCAAATTATGTGGCCCTGGGGAAAGCAAAAATAGCCAGTTGACTCTTGTTTCCTTGAGTGTCCAGTGGGAAACTGAAGCTGAATCAAGGATTGGATTTTAATGAAAAGAGAAAGAATAAACAGATTTCTTAGAGGTCCTAAGAAAGAAAAGTAGAGGCCAGGTACAGGTCAGATTTGGGAGACAAACTGGGGGTGTTTGCTATAAATTTCAATAGTTGCATACCTGAAGAAATATATGTTTTTAAAAATCTTCATGACTGCTCATGCCTGTAATCCCAGTACTTTGGGAGGTTGAAGCAAGAAGATCGCCTAAGGTCAGGAGTTCAAGATCAGCCTGGCCAATATAGTGAAAACTTGTCTCTACTAAAAATACAAAAATTAGCCGGGCATGGTGGCACACACCTGTAGTCCCAGCAGGCTGAGGCAGGAGAATTGCTTGAACCAGGGAGGCAGAGGTTACAGTGAGCTGAGCTTGTGCCACTGCACCCCAGCCTCCAAAAAATCTTCATGACTAGAGTACTGCAGTCTCTGTTTCATAATATCCTTTTTAACCATAGTAAAGGGATTAGGGAAAAAGACAACTAACCTTAGTACATTTTTAAAGCAGAATTTTAACTGGACATTTTGAGGCTAAAGACAGAAGGAACCATACCTGAATACTGTACTCAGGTTAGTAAACTTGTTTCTTGAAGGGGCACAGGTTAGAAAATTTAAATATACTTTAATTGTATTCTAATGTTAAGCAAATAAGTAGTTTACAGATAATGAAAGGCAGGTTTTTCACTAATGAAGAAAGAAGGACAAACAGTAAAAAGGAAAATGAAGACTAGAATAAATCCTGTGTTGCTGGATTGGAATTGGAGGTATTAGTATGAACTTGCAGTCTTTTACCAGATAGATAGATTTTGATGGAGATATAAATATATGTGAATACACATTAACCTCTGGAGCTGTAGGTAAAACTCGCTCAGTAATAGGCAAGCAGGAGATCCTACTACTTTCTACCATGGGAAATAAAAAATCCCATGGAAAAAACAGATCAAATGAAAAAATATGACCTAAGAGTGAAGTAGGCAGAGAACAGTTAAAGCAAAAGCAAGACACAACGAAGTGCCTATCTAGAATGTATTGTTTGGGAGGGAGAGAGAGATAGATAGGCAGGCAGACAGATGATAGCTAGATAGATAATAGATGACAATCTGCATATATGCATGAGTTAATGTGTGTGTGTGTGTGTGTGTGTGTATATATATATATATATATATATATATATATACACTCCATCGCCCAAACTAGAGTGCAATGGCATGACCTTGGCTCACTGCAACCACCGCCTCCCAGGTTCAAGTGATTCTCCTGCCTCAGCCTCCCAAGTAGTTGGAATTACAAGTGCCTGCCACCACACCTGGCTAATTTTTGTTATTTTTAGTAGAGATGAGGTTTCACCACGTTGGTCAGGCTGGTCTTGAACTCCTGACCTCAGGTGATCTGCCCGCCTCAGCCTCCCAAAGTGCTGGGATTACAGGCGTGAGCCACCGCGCCTGGCCCACATTTTGGTTTCTAAAGACTTTCTCCAATAAAAGGGAACATTTGGAGAAGTGGTTGTTCTTACAGCTCAGACAGGGGAAACAAGATGATCCTAAAGAGCCATAAGGTAAGGAATTATTCCAAAAAGGATGAGACGGCAAAGGGAAAGAACAGAGGAACCAACTAAAGTGTTCCCAATGGCCAAAGCTGAAAAAATTTGAGCAAATACAAATGAATATACAAATAAATAGTATTCTAACCCATAGAATAAAATAAATATCAAAAATGTGGGGGTAATATATCTCTTCTTTATATCAGAATTTCCATAGTAAGTGGAGAAGGAATGAGGGAACTAGAAAGTGGCCATTAGACCACCACAGTAATCAGTCTGCAGACAAGACCCCACTGGTGGATACTAAAACTAGTAGGTGAAAATTTGAGAAACTGGAATGTCTCAAACTATCTCCCCCAAGACATTTATTAATCAAAAAGGAAAAATAGTAACTTCACAATGGAGAAATCCAGCAGACACTACCTTAAATTAAGCAAGTAATTGAGCTTAACATCAACTGTCATAAGGCACATAGCCATCACACGTCCCTGACAAGGTACACTGAGAAAGACACGTCACTTCTGTGACATTCCTACCAAAAACCGCACAATCTCAACCCATTAGTGAGAGAATATTGGACAGATGCAGACTGACAGATGTTTTATAAAACAACTATAATCTTCAAAAGTATACATGTCATGAAAGATGAGCAAAGACAGTAACTGTCACAGATCTGAGGAGAGTACAGAGACTTGACAAAGATCCTGGATTGAATCCTAAAACAGAAAAAAAGACATGAATGGAAAAACTGGTGAAATCCAAATAAAGTCTGTAGTTTAGTGAATAGTATTGTCCAATGTTAATTTCTTGGTATTGATAATGGTATGATGGTCCTATATGTTAACATTAGACGATGCTGGGTGAAGAATAGAAAGAAGCTCTCCATGCTGTTTTGCAACTTTTCTGCAAGCCTAAAATTATTTCAAAATAAAAAGTCAAAAAAAAAAAAAAAGAAAAAAAAAAGCCTAGATAAAACTCTGTCTTCTGACTAAATATTGAATTTAATTGAATTCAAATTTATTAAACTCTAGGAATCAAAGAGAGAAGAGGAAATGCTATGAAAAAGAAATAAGGACAGAAGTAAAGCCACAGGAAAGAGTCCCCAGGTGATGCTACAGGGTTTAGAGTTGGGGGCCCCAGGTTCAGGCTAAACTGTATCCCACCAAAGAGCTTTAGACTTCTCTGGGCATATGCGGTAGACAGCGGAGCTGTGTCCTCCAGAAAAATATTTACATTAGAGACTGAGGAAATTCTAGACCTTATCTGAGGGCAGTGTTTCTTAAACTTTAGTTACTTTGCGTACCATTTTTACAATTTTTGTTAGCTCTCACACCACCTGAATTATTTGCTCAATATTTTCCATCACGCTGACTTTGTTGGAATGATGCAATTTTTTTTAACTTGCTCTTATCTCTGTGCTACTTAAAATCACATCACATGTCACCAGTGGTCCACATACCACAACAGAGGAGCATCTGAGTCCTAGAGATTGCAAAGGAACATTGCAAGTAAGGAAAAAACTAAAAGGACTGTTTTCCATAAAACAAACATACCACCCAAACACACACACACACACACGCACACGCGCGCACACACACATGCATGCACACACCACTGTCTCCGACTAAGCAGAGGGAAACACAGAAGGGGAGCCAGGCATTCTTGCTGCTTTTCCATGGAAAATTCCATGGCTTTGGAGCATTGAGGTACCCAGAGAACGTAATGTAGGCCTAGAACATTAAAGACATAGACCACCAGGGATCCAGATGT
The DNA here is from genome assembly GCF_000001405.40 of Homo sapiens. Lineage (NCBI taxonomy): Eukaryota > Metazoa > Chordata > Mammalia > Primates > Hominidae > Homo > Homo sapiens. The sequence goes on along the minus strand of NC_000007.14, from coordinate 144,959,787 downwards.
GGCAGAGATAGTAGAGGATGGTAGAATGGTGATAGTACCCAGGCAGCAGAGAAAGGCAGAACTAGGGTGTGAACCAATACCACCATCTCTGGAAGCAATAAGAGTTGCCAAACGCAGAGGCAAAAAGAGCCTTGTCCCTGGCAACATGAGCAGCAGCTGTAAGACCCTCTAAAGGCAGTTGTGGTGCCGTGGGGGCTGGAAACTTCACTGAATGGGGCTGGAGTAGGAATGAAGAAAGTGACTTTACCTCAAAGTATCAGAATGAACTTGTACTGTGAGTATATGTACAATATCCTTGAAGATTCCAAGCAAGAACTGGAGGCTAAGAGGGGTGATTTTATGCAGATCCTGTACATGGGACTAGAAGCCAAGGACAACTCGCCACATCCATGGAGCTGCAACGTGCACTTGTGGGAGTGTAATCTGGTAAAGCCATTCTAAAAACATCTAGAAGTATTTAGTGAAGTAAAGTGGGGGTACATTTTATGATCCCATCATATGAGAAAAAATCCTACACAGCCCTATAAGAGGACATGTTCATTGCAGCTGTGTTTGTAATAGCACAAATTTGGCCGGGTGCGGTGGCTCACGCCTGTAATCTCAGCACTTTGGGAGGCCAAGGCGGGTGGATCACGAGGTCAGGAGTTCAAGACCAGCCTGGCCAATATGGTGAAACACCGTCTCTACTAAAAATACAAAAATTAGCTGAGCATGTTGCATGCCTGTAATCCCAGCTACTTGGAAGGCTAAGGTAGGAAAATCGCTTGAACACAGGAGGCGGAGGTGGCGGTGAGCCGAGATTGCACCACTGCACTCCAGCCTGGGTGACAGAGCAAGACTCTGTCTCAAAAAAAAAAAAAAAAAAAGCATAAATTTGAAAGCAACCTAGGCAGTCATTATTAGAACTATTGAAAAAGTAAAGTCAAGTAGGTGCATACCATGGAACACGGGGCAGCATTCAGAATAAGGAATTACATGTCTGTAACAGCAACATGGTTTGGTCTTAAAAACAGAGAGTTGAGAGAAAATACAAATAAAACAATGTAATAGCTGACACCCATGTAGCAATTATTATGTGTCAGGCATTATTCTCAGCACTGGACATTATTAATTCATTTGTTCCTTGCAAAAACCCTATGAGATAGATGTTGTCATTGTTCCCAGGTTATTTATGAGTAAATTGAAGAACAGCAAATTTAAGAGACTTGCTCAAGGTCAGATGGCTAATAAGTGGTAAAGAAAATACTGAGAACCAGGACACCTAACTCTAACCACTACATGATATTGATATCCTCTAGCAATAGAAAACAGGAAGAAACTTTGAGCTAAATGCATTATTGCAATTTCAAAATCATACCACCCAAAATTAAAGTAAAAATGTTACTTATATTTCCAAAAATATGCAACACAAAAACAATAGAATGATATGTATACTTGAGGTGGAGTAGATAAAGATGAGAGAGAAGAATAGGATTGAAAGAGGAAAATAACAAGAAATGAAGCAACATAAAATAGAATAAGGCTTAGAACTGACAGGGCAGACAGGGAGAGTTTTAAGAGAAAGCAGGAAGGTCAATGCCGCAAGTGTGGGCTCAGCAGGGGCCAGGCTGAGAGAGAAACAAGTGAAGCCTGAGACAAATTGTCCCCCGCATAAATCAAGATGCATTCAGTAACTGAAGGAAGAATTGCTCCAGGATACAGAATTCTTTCCTTGGTTAGTAATCACTATATAATATTCATTAGATTTCTTGCCCATTTATTGACCAACACAGAATATTCTGATCCCAAAATTTACTCCCCAGTGTCCCAGATTCTACACCTTTGAATTACTAATTCTCTTCGTTACGTGTGTCAAGAATTAAATAATGGCTATTAATCATACACCCAATTTCTAATAAATTTTTCTGGTAGTAAAAGTCACTATAAACTCAAACTGGTGACTACAGTTATGAGTTTAAAATTTACCAATGACTACAAATGGTTGGAAATATCAAGCAATTTCTTGAAAAAGAGAGATCTGCAAAATCTGACTCAAGGAAATTGAGTGTTGTTTGTACACAGGAAATAGATACAAAAGAAAACTGACAGTAGTAAAAATGTTAATCTCCAGTATTAGACTAATAGATGAACTTAATCTGTGTTGTAAAATTTATGGAGAAAATTGATTTCAATGTAAATGGTTTCATTAAAATAAAAATAGAATGAAAATTTTTTTTGAAATGGCTTAACCCTGCTCTATAAAGAAGTGATTAAGTAATTTAATTATAGTTAGCTCCAGGAAATTATTTCTCAATGAAAAATCTATCCATGATGGTAAAAAACTGATTTAACAGAAAATCAACCTTTCTTAGGGTCAAAACCAGAGAAAATATCAGTTTCTCTTATCCTCTTCACAAGCATCTTCCCCAGCACCAGATGCCACAGCTGTTTGGATGTGGGGTAAAGCAGACAAGCCCATCCAGATGTACTTTGTAAAGGTGATAAGAATTCTATTAAAGTTTTACATTTATAGAGCAATCACTGCTGGCTAGAGAGAAGAAACTCTTTGTGCGGGGTGGGGGAATGGTTTTTGATCTGGGCCTTAAGGGTGGATAAGATTTTAATGGGTAAGGATCACAGGTCAGGAAAGTGGACATTCTAGCTAGAAGGGACAGGCTGAACATATTAATGGAATAGAAAAAATACAAGGCAGGATCAAAATAAAAAATGTTACCTTCATGACTTGATCCTGGGTTTTATGTAGGGAAATAGTAGAATAGGTAGCTGGAAAGGATGATTTGAACCAGACTCTAAGGGATCTTAAAAAGCAGGCTGTGTAGTTAGTACGTTATTGAACAACGGCAATACCCAAGATTTTTGTTTGTTTAATCAAAAAAAAATAATTAAAAAAGAATCTTCAAAACTCAGGATGCTTTAGGAAAAGGTATTAGAAATTATGCACTAAAAGATAGAATCCAACGATTTAATTTTGTACTTAAGTCTTTGTATATCACACTAGAAAAAAAAAATTTCTTGTAACGCACTTGTTCAGAGAGTAGTAGTTACCCTCTCCTAGTAAGTAGAGTAAATTTACTCCTTAGAGTCCATCCCTATTCTTCTACTCAGATCCATCACGGCAGCTCCTCTACCTTTAGTGCAATCATCCAAGGACTTGGAACTTTGTTTGTGGCTATGGCATCAAGCCCAGGGCTCTTCCTCTCTTCTACTGAAGCAATACAACTGTGATTGTGGTAGAATGAAGCCTGGACAGAGCTCAGAGCACATGGTTTAGGTCTCAGCTCAGCCCTCCAGAGGTTTGTGACCTGAGCAACTCTCTTAGCCTCGCTGGTCTTCATTATCTTTCCCTGCAATATGAAGAACTTGACTTAAGATGACCTCTAGGTTTCCTTTAAGCTTTGACATTTTGTCTTAAAGACATTCCTTTAATAAGCTATTCCAACATTTTCAGAACTATTTTATTCAGTATGACACAAAAAGTACTTAACAGGTGATGAGAGATCAGTATACAGGTGAAAAAACATAAGCACATAAAGCAAAAGTAGCTCTTCATACATTCAGCTTAAAATATACACCTTACTAATGTGCCTTGTTACCAAATACCTTTAAGCATACACAGCTGAGTTAACTGAGCACAGCCTGTTTTTGGCCAACATCATTCTGCTGCATAGATGGAGGGGACAGGGGTGGTGGTATTAGTCCATTCTCAGGCTGCTAACAAAGACATACCCAAGGCTGGGAAAGAGGTTTAATGCACTCACAATTCCACAGTGCTAGGGAGGCCCCACAATCATGGTGGAAAGTGAAGGAGGAGCAAAGGCCCTTCTTACATGGCAGCAGGCAAGAGAGCATGTGCAGGGGGAACTCCAATTTATAAAACCATCAGATCTCATGAGACTTATTCACTACCACCAGACCAGTATGGGGGAAACCACCCCCATGATTCAACAATCTCCACCTGGCCCTGCCCTTGACACAGGGCAGGGGATGAGGGGTGGTTATTACAATTCAAGGTGAGATTTGGGTGGGGACACAGCCAAACTATATCAAGGGGAGTCACAAAATTCTCTTATTTTCAGTCTGCTTTTAAAACTATGAGAGAATTAAAAGTAATGATTGATAATATAGAGACTGGATTCAGGCTGACCTATGTTTGACTCATCACTACTGGTTACTAAGTTATCTTGACCAAGTTGTTTACTTTCACTAAGCCCCAGTTTCTATATGCATAAAGTGTATTTTCATGAGAATTAAACAAAATAATGTAAATTAAGACATGACACATAATAAGAGCTGATAAGCAGTAGAAGACAACAACCATGCTAAGTATACAGAAAATGTTGACGAAAAATAAGGGAATCTTTTATATGGAACCTCCCTAAAAAAATAACTGACATGCAAAACTAATCTGCAGAGATTTCCCTTCATCAAATTAAGTAATTCTCAATATTGACTTCACAACAGAATCATTTAGCAGGTTTCAAATACTACAGACTCCCAGGCCCCATCCATACCTAATAAACTGGAATATCTGGCTAACCTAGATGAGATGTGCTGAGAAGCTGAGGTATTCAGACCATTAGAGAGCTGCTTTTCAAGATCCACATGGAAGTTAAACTTTAGAGTTATCAATACAATTGGGTTACCTCCCCCCATGAATACCTGAAATTCACAGACCTCAATTAGTTTACAGATGAACTCATACTACATCTCATACGGTGAAAAGCTCCTCCCAGGAAGCAGTGGTTTTCCCCAAAACCTGGTATTCTTACACGTTCTGGATATTGAGACACTTTCCATTTCAAATATGCCAATAAACGTCTAAATTTGGAGTTTAGAATCTATTGGCATTAACTCAGATATAAAGACAGAAATCAGGCCTAAGTGATATGTGATGGCAAGATTAATATCAATAAACCATCTCAGGTAGTTTTATTATATATACTTGTACACTAGTACCTGACCTGATCACAGGACATGAATTAAAACAGAAAGAAACAGCTTTAAAGTTTTATATTCTTAGTATTAATTTCAGAAGCCTTTTCCCAGTTCGATATGATATTTTGCATTTTAGGGGTGATATAGTTTGGATATTTGTCCCCACCAAATATCATGTTGAATTGTAATCCCCATGCCAGAGATGGGGCCTGATGGGAGGTGTCCGGATAATGGGGGCAGATCCCTCATGAACGGCTTGGGCCATCCCATTGGTGATAATTGAGCTCTCACTCTGAATTCATGTGAGACATGGTCACGTAAAAGTGCGGGGCACTTCCCCTACCCCACTTTGTCACTCCTGCTTTCACTATGTGAAGTGCCTGCTCCTGCTTTGCTTTCCACCATGACTGAAAGCTTCCCGAGGCCTCCTCAGAAGCAGATGCTGGAGCTATGCCTCCTGAACAGCCTGCAGGACCAGAAGCCAATTAAACCTCTTTTCTTTACAAATTACCCAGTCTCAGGTATTTCTTTATAGCAAGGCAAGAATGGCCTAATATAGAAAATTGATACAAAGAGTAGGGTAATAGGCAAAAGTCGGAAGAGTCTGGAGAATTCAGAAGACAGAAAGATGAGGGAAAATTTGGAACTTCTTAGAGACCAGTTAAGTGGTTGCAACCAAAATGCTGATAGTGATATAGACAGTGAAATCCAGGCTGATGAGGTCTCAGATGGAAATGAGGAACTTACCGTGTATTGGAGCAAAGGTCACCCATGTTATGCCTCAATAAAGAACTTGGCTATGTTGTGTCCATGCCCTAGGAATCTATGGAAGTTTGAACTTGAGAGTGATGATCTGGGGTACCTGGTAGAAGAAATTTTCAAGCAGCCAAGTGTTCAAGATGTGCCTTGGCTGCTTCTAACAACCTACACTGAGATGTGGGAGCAAAGAAATGACTTAAGGTTGGAGTTTGTATTTAAATAGAAAGAAGATGATAAAGGTTTGTAAAATTGGCAGCTAGGCCATATGGTAAAGAAAGAAAAAGCTTTTAAAAGAGAGAAATTCAAGTAGGCTGTGGAGCAACCAATTGCCAGAGAAATTTTCATAACTAAAAGGGAACCAAGTGCTAATATACAAGACAATGAGGAAAAGGCCTCTAAAGCATTTCTGAAATCTTCATGGTAACCCCTCCCAACAGAGGCCCAGAGGTCTAGGAAAGAAGAATGGTTTCATGGGCAAAAGCCAAGGGCCCTGCTGCCCTGTGCAGCTTCAGGACCCCAGGACACTGCTTCTTGCATCTCTGCTGCTCTGGTTCCAGCCTTGGCCCACAGGATTCCAGATAGAGCCCAAGCTTCTGTGTCAGAGGGTGCAAGCCATAAGCTTTGGCAGCTTCCACATGGTGTTAAGCCAGCAGGCACACAGAATGCAAAAGTGAAGGCTGCTTGGGAGCTACCACCTAGATTTCAGAGGATGTGTGGAAAAGCCTGGGTGTCCAGGAAGAAGCCTGCTGCAGGGGTGGAGCCCTTTCAGAGAACCTCTTCTAGGGTAGCATGGAGGAGAAATGTTGGGCTGGAAGACCCATACAGAGACCTCCCTGAGGCACTGCCTGGGGGAGCTTCAGAAAGGGGGCTACCATCCTTCAGACCCTAGAATGACAGTTCCATTAGCCGCTTGCATCCTGCTCCCAAAAAACCCACAGGCATTCAACTCCAGCACATGAGAGCAGCCTGGGAGGCCAACCCTACAAAGCCACAGAGATGCAGCTGCCCAAAACCTTGGGAGCCCACGCATTGCACCAGTGTGCTCTGAATGTGAGACATGAAGTCAAAGGCGATTATTTTGGAGCTTTAAGATTTAAGGACTGCCCTGCTGGGTTTCAAACTTGAATGGGGCTGATATCCCCTTTCTTTTAGCTGATTATTCCCTTTTGGAATGGAAACGTTTACCCAATGCCTATACCTCCACTGTATGTTGGAAGTAAATAACTTGTTTTTCATTTTACAGGCTCATAGGTGGAAGGGACATGCCTCATCTCAGTTGAGACTTTGGACTTTTGAGCTAACACTGAAATGAATGAAGATTTTGTGAGACTGTTGAGAAGGCATGATTGTAGTTTGCAATGTGAGAAGAACATGAGATTTGGGAGAGGCCAGAGGCAGACTGATATAGTTATTTATCTCTGCCCAAATCTCTGTTGAAATGCAATCCCAATGTTGGAGGTAGGGCCTGGTGGGAAGTATTGGGATCATGGGGGCAGATCCCTCATGAATGGTTTGGCTGTCTTCTTGGTGATAAGGATATCCCAAATATCCTTTATTTAGGAAAAGGTTAAGTTTCTTTAACAAAAAGACCCAAAATACAATGGCCTAGAAAACACTTATTTATCTTTATTATAGCAACCCAGCTAGTCTAGGATGGTGGCACTGCTCTTTTCCATGAGCAATTCTGGCATTCAGTTCTTTTCCTCTTGTTACTCCTCCATGCCCCTAGGGGATTGGCCTCATCACAATTTGGAAGTTGAAAATTCCCTTAGTAAAATAGTTGCCATTTTAAAACCTCCATTTCCAGATGAAGAAAACTTCACAGAAAGTAAAAGACTTGTCTAGTATAATACAACTATTTGAGGTTAGCATTAATCCAGGACTCTAAGAACTTGTATCTTCCATCACTTCAAACTCAAACCATCTACTACTTAAGTAGAGAGCCATAGAGAGATCGATTTTAGAGTCAAGCAGACATTTGTTTAAATTCCAGATTTCTCACTTGAACAAGTAATATAATATTGCTTAGATATAAAATGGAGATTATTATTTTATGGGATAGAAGTTCATATGAAATAATATAAAGGGGGGAAATGAATAGGCAATGCCTATTTTTAGAGCAGTGAAAATATTCTATATGATATTATAATGATAGATATATATCATTATACGTATGTCTAAATCCATAAACTATAGGCTTTGGGTGATTAGGGTGTGTCAATGTAGATTCATCAATTGTAACGAATGTAGGACTCTGGTGGAGGATATTGATCATGAAGAAGGCTATGCCTGTGTAGCATATATGGGAAATCTCTGAATCTAAAACTGCGCTAAAAAACTAGCCTTCAAAATATATATGTAATGGAAATAAACTTGCTCATTATAGAACTACACATATAGTAGGTGCTTCATAATGCATCTCTCCCTTCCTAACACCAATATGAAATACCTTTCTGTGCTCAAGTACTGCATTGTGACGCCAAGATGTTCCACCCAAAACAGCTCCTCCAAGACCAGCCTTCTGAGTGATACAATGATGCTCTCCAATTACGCAGTCCTCTCTGATTTCCAAACCACGTTTGCATATATTATCTCATTTCCTACAATACCATGAGGCAGATTGTGCCTGTAGAATCACCCTCACTTCACAACCACATGCAACCACTGTATCGTACCTTGTATTTCCAAAGCACTTTTTTGCATGGTATTTCATTTGAGGATCCCAACACTGTGAAGTGGGAAGAGCAGATGATCGCCATCTTCATTTTATAGGGATGATGAAACTGAGTTTGAGAGTTTTTAAAAGAGTATAAATGGAAAGCTAAAAGTACAATTAGTTGTAGAAAAATAATGATTGTCCCCATAAAGAAGTGAAGAATAAAAACATTTTAATAACTAATTGTGGAACTGTAGTTCTACCTCAAAATTTATCAGTAAAAATGTCATTATGCTTAAGGTAATATCACCAATGAAAAAATAAGTATGCCTCATTAGAGCCTGTCAGTTACATTGCACACTTCTAACTGGATACCATTTACTTGTACCCTTCAAAGAAAGTGAGTTTGATTTTTATCACAGTAGGGAGTTAAACTAATATATACTTAGTTCTCAAAAAAAAAAATTTTTTTTAGTGAAAAAAAGTAAAGAAATCCACATCTTGATTTCAAATACAGTTTTATTCTGAAGTGTCAGACAAAACTATATACACGGTTAGGACAAGATCCCAATTGTTTTCTATATCTAGACCAGTATACTCCCTGCTATGCTGTACTAGCAAGTACCCAAGGAATCAGAGCCACAGAAATCAGGGATTGCCAATTGCCTAATCACTTCCCTCAGCACTGTTCTCTGAAAAGACAGACAGCCACTTCTGTGACCGTGGAGCCTGCCTATTCTGTGAGTCTCTTTTCCTCTACTGCTACCTCACCAGGATGTCTATCAGCAGGATCAAGGTAGAAGTGTAGTTATTCCTAACAGCCCAGTAACTTAAATCTAGTATGTCTTCAAGCAGTATTTGCCATTTTAATCCATTTTGTTTTACAGATTGTTTTATCACGTATTTTAAAAAATGACAAAGCAATATGTATTCATTCAAAATTTAAGATGTAGAAAAGACAGAACAGGAAAAAAAATTAAAATCTCTTCTATTTTCCAGAGGAAATACAAGGTGGAAGTGTTGGTCCACCATGCCGTGGTGAGGTAGTTTCACTGGGTCAGATAGTGTTCTTTCCCCTGGGACATAAAACCCTCTTATTTCATTGACCCTGAAAACCCATCACTGGAAATTTATGCTAATAGTCAGGAATGCTTTGGGCTGCAGAGGTTTTTTTAATTTTTTTTAAATCAAGGAGGGTTTTAAAATATGTGTGTGTGTGTATATATATATATATATATATATATGTGTACATATATATGGAAAATATCTCTCTATATACACATATATATACACATATATACACATACATATATACACATATATACATATATACGTATATACATACATATATACACATATATACGTATATATGTATATACATACACATATACATACGTATACACATATATACATATATATACACATATATACATATGTATATGTGTGTGTATATATATACATATACATATATATATATAAAGAGACTGCTGACCTTGGTTCAGTGGCTCTGTGATAGCAGGTGCAATGTGTCCATTATTTTCTTGGCCTTTCTTGGCCATATGATCACTGCTACACTGTAGCTGCAGCCCTCACATCCCTTTCAAGCAAAAGATAACGCTGGACATGGGAAAGGTGGTGCCTGTAAACATCTTCTTGACCACATTCCTCACTGGCCAGAACTCTATGACATGGTTACCTGTAAGCAAGGCTAATCACCTAAGCTAGAGGTAATACCTGCTTTTGTTAACCTCAGGAGAATACAGTCTGCGTATTTGGGTCATGGAGAATTTTCTTGTGATTTCTTCCTACTGCTTTTCAAAGGCAAAACAGAAAAATTGAGAAAAGATCATGACTTTCTCTTCCTTCCCTGAACAATGTCCAATGACACTCTCAAAATCATTTACAAATTTCCTTGGCAAACAAATACATACTAACATAGAAAAAGTTCTAAAACCTTTTGTATATACACATGTGATGCCTAGAAGATGATCTGGAAAGATGTAAACCAAACTCTTGCCAGCCATATACTGTGAAAAGGAAGATGAACTCGATTTACTTTTAGTTTGTAATGAGAACATGTGCATGTATTACTCAAATTCATTCTTTTTAAGAAGATATAGACAAAAGTCTTTGAAAACCAAGTCTTGATGCTTTAGTTATCATTCATCTTCTTCATGAATAATTTGTCTCTATGGAAAAGACGTTTTCCTTATAGGAGATCTAAACACTCAGCCTCTAAGTAATTGTAATAAAATTAATTTCTTAAAGAATTTGTGTCCTCTATAGTCTTGATTTTTTTTTTTTTTTTTGAGATGGAGTTTCACTTGTGTTGCCCAGGCTGGAGTGCAGTGGCACGATCTCAGCTCACTGCAACCTCAGCCTCTCAGGTTCAAGGGATTCTCCTGCCTCAGCCTCCCAGGTAGCTGGGATTACAGGCACCCACCACCACACCCATCTAATTTTTTGTATTTTTAGTAGACATGGGGTTTCACCATGTTGGCCAGGCTAGTCTCCAACTCTTGACCTCAGGTGATCCACCTGCCTCGGCCTCCCACAGTGCTGAGATTACAGGTGTGAGCCACTGCACCTGGCCTACCCTTGGATATTTAAAATCATAATTTAAATGGAACAAAACAAGCTTAGTTATACCATGGGCTCACATTAATTTCTTCTCCCTAGACATGACATATAATGCATTAATAAGATTTACTCTATGATGTTTAGTCAAACTAATACAATGACATACTTAAGTGCCACATGTACTGCAGGAGGGAGAGTTAGTTATGTGTAATCAATCTATAAATCATACCAAAACACTGGACTGAGATTGGACTTGTTGGCAATAAAGAGATGGCATAATAAGCCCAACAATGGAGTGATGTTCCATGTGGGATCATTAAACAGCAGTTTTTAAAAGAGTATAAATGGAAAACTAAAAGTACAATTAGTTGCAGAAAAATATTGATTGTACCCAGGAGTTTTATACATCAATGACAAAATAAAAACATGTAGTTCTATGACTAGCTATTAAAATAGAATACAAGCAAAATTTCTAAGTCAAAATGTCATTACGTATAAGAGAATATCACCAAGAAAAAATATAAGTATGCCTCATTACAACCTATAAGTTACATGCCACACTTCCAACTGGATATCATTTAGTTTGTTCCTTTTGAAAAAATAAATAGCCTCATTATGTTAAAAATAAAAAGATATATATGCATTTAAAAAGTATGTGGGCACTTAGGGAAATTCATTTTATAGAATTATGTTGAAAAATAGCAGGCACACAATAACTACTGCTGAGTAGATTACTAAATTGAAATACATACCCAAAAATGTTATCTCTGGAAAATAGGATTAGAAGTTATTTTTATTTTCTTTCTTGTTTGTTTGCTCTTTTCTATATGTTAAATTTTTAATGAATACACATTACTTTGTCAGTAGATAAAATAAAACAATCTTTAAAGCAAAACAGATTTAAAATGACAACTACTACTTGAAGACCTACTAGATTCAAGTTACTGAGCTAGGCAGTTAGGGATAATGAATAGTTGGTGTTATTTGAGGGAATGTTATAGCAAATTAGGTAATAGAACAGAAAGGAGAGGCCTGTATTGTTTATAGACTTTATCAACTTGGTTGAGATCCAGGAAGATGTTGCCCTTCTTAAATATAAACCTTTGCTTACCTGGGTCATGGCTGTAAGTAAGCCAATAGACTTAGGTCTTGAAACATAATTTTTAAAATATATATGGGAGAAAAAATTGAGGCTAGGCAGAGTGGCTCATGTCTGTAATCCCAGCACTTGGGAGGCCAAGGCAGGCGGACCACTTGAGCCCAGGAGTTTGAGATCAGCTGGGCAATATAATGAGGCCCTATGTCTACAAAATACTTTAAAAAATAAAAATTAGCTGGGTGTGGTGGTGCATGCCTGTAGTCCCAACTACTCAGGAGGCTGAGATGAGAGGATCACTTGAGCCGAGGAGGTGAAGGTTGAAATGAGCTATGACCACACCACTGCACTCCATCCTGGGCAACACAGCAAGACCCTGTCTCAAAAAAAAAATTGAAATACTAAGTTTTTGCTACACATGTATATATGATCTGAATTCAATCACTCTACATAGAGTACATAAGCCCAAAACTTAATGTAAAAATTAGTTTGAGGGAGAGACACTACATGAGAGCCAATCCCTTGGTGAAGCTTTATGATGGTCCTCTCTTGTGAACATTTGAAGATTATTGTCTCAGATAAGCAGTGTGGACAAGGATTACAAAATATTTGAGGAAGTTCAAAGCCATATGAGGCAGTGCAAAAAGTCAACAAATAGGAAAGTTCACAGAGCAGAAACCAGAGAATAAAGCAAACTGGAAAAAAAAAAACCCACAACTTTATAATAGCATTGTTTAAAGTGTTCAAAGAATTACCAAGTGATATGGTATGGCTCTGTGTCCCCACCCAAATCCCATCTTGTAGCTCTGATAATTTCCACGTGTTGTGGGAGGGACCTGGTGGGAGATGATTGAATCATGGGGGTGGGTCTTTACATGCTGTTCTCATGATAGTGAATGGGTCTCATGAAATCTGATGGTTTTAAAAATGAGAGTTTCTCTGCACAAGCTCTCTCTTTGCCTGTTGCCATCCATGTAAGACATGACTTGTTCCTCCTTGCCTTCTGCCATGATTGTGAGGCTTCCCAACCATGTGGAACTGTGAGTTCTCCATTAAACTTTTTTTCTTTGAAAATTGCCCAGTCTCAGGTGTGTCTTTATTAGCAGTGTAAAAACGAACTAATACACCAAAGGAAATAGAATATTTTAACAGGAACAAAAAAAAATATCAAATAAGAAAAAGAGGAAATGTCAAAATAGAAATTGTAGGTATGAAAAAGAAAGTCAATGAAATCAGAGTAAAATACTCAGTAAAGAGTATAATAGACACAAGCAAAAAGAGAATTAGTGTGTTGGAGGAAAAAGAAAAAAAGACATCTCCCTAAATATAGCACAGAGAAATTAAGACACTTTGAAAGATAAGTCAACACTTGAAGAACAATGAAAATTAGAAATTCCAACATTTATCTAAGGAGAATTCCAGAAGAGAGGAGAAAATATATGACTGAAAATATATGAGAAAATATGTAAAGTGATAATGGCTAACAATCTTCCAAAAATTAGCTAAAAGATAAGCCCTTGACTGGGCACAGTGGCTCACACCTGTAATCCCAGCACTTTGGGAGGCTGAGGTGGGTGGATCACGAGGTCAGGAGTTCAAGACCAGCCTGACCAACATGGTGAAACCTGTCTCTACTAAAAATACAAAAATTAGTGGGGAATGGTGGCTCGCACCTGTAATCCCAGCTACTCCGGAGGCTGAGGCAGGAGAATTGCTTGAACCCGGGAGGCGGAGGTTGCAGTAAGCCAAGATCACGCCACTGCACTCCAGTCTGGGTGACAGAGTGAGACTCCGTCTCAAAAAAATAAAATAAGCCTTTGATCCAAGATCTATACCTAGATGCATAATATAGTTAAATTATAGATTGTCAAGGATGAAACAAAACATATTGAAAGCCACTAAAGACAAAAGGGAGATTTCCTATCAAAGAACTAAAAACAGACTGTTGCAGACACCACATCAGTAAAAATCAAAATCAGAAGACAGTGAAGGAATATTTTCAAAGTACTGACGTTAAATAATTTTTAATCTAAAATTTTTAAACAGCCAAATTGTCATTTTAAGGAAAGGATAAAAAGATATTTCAGAAATACAAAGATATAGAAAGTTCACAAACCACAGAACCACTGAACTTATTTCTGCTTAGTTCAGATGGTTTCATAGGTAAGTTTTACCATATTTCTATTATTTGAACACTTCAGAAAAGAAAAAAGTTATCCATTTCGCTTTATGAAACTTTTATTAACATGATACCAAAACCTAACAAAACCACTACAGAATGAGAAAATTATAAACCAATTTTATTTATAATTACAGAAAAAAATTCTAATAAAGTTTTAATCAGTAACTTAAATCCAAAGGTATATATAAAAATGTAATATATCATGATGAAGTAGAATTTACCCCAAAGGAATGCAAAAATGATTCAACATTAAAAATTATAATGTTTTCCAACACATTAAAGATTCATGGAAAAAAAACATATAACCACCTAAACAGAAAAAAAAATTTATAAGGAATCAGTATCCGCTTATGATTTTTAAAATGCTAACTAAACTGCATATATAAGGGGAGTTACTTTACATGATAAAGTAAATCTCACAAAACCCTAAAATGAATATTATACTTACTGGTGAAACTTCAGAAAACATTATCATTAATATTAAAAGCAAGACAGGAAAATCTGCTATTAGTACTTCTAGTCAGCATTCTACAGGAAATATGAGTTAATACAAAAAGAAGAAAGGAAATAGATATATGAATATTTAGGGACCCTGAAATTGTAGTAAGTATTGGTCTTGCCCTATCACTGATAGGCAACTATCACACTGGACAGGCAACACAACTATTCCCAATAATTGGACCACAAGTGTGCAGGGAATGGTCCTTAAGAGAAAGAGAAAAATAAAGTGAGCTCTACTTTCCAAACTGTAACATAGGGAAGTGGAACTCAAATGGAATGCAGTGGTTTTGTTGGGCTGAGTAAAGTATTTGGCAGTTAGGCTGCTGAGGGAGCTGGAATCGGTGGGTAGGAAACAGGAGAGGAGGAGCCCTAGACACCTGGGTAGGGATTCCAGTTTGTTCTTAGCCAGGTCCTATGCTCTGCATATACAGGACATCTCCCTGAAGCCTGTTAATGAACAGCTCCTGGCCTGTGCTGAAATCCTACCTGCAATGTGATGGTATTAGGAGGTGGGGCTTTTGGGGGGTGATTAGGTCATGAGGGTGGGGGTTTCTTGAATAAGATTAGCGCCCTTATAAAAGGGACCCCAGAGAGCTTGTGAGCCCTCACCAGACACCAAATCTTCCAGCACTTTGATTTTGGATTTCTTAACCCTCCAGAACTGTGAGTTTTTGTTTAAGCCGCCTAGTCTGAGATATTCTGTTATAGCAGCCTGGACTAACTGAGCCAGGATATAAATTATTTATGAATACATGAAAGCATATACGATGTTTATGAAGGAGAAGACAACGATGAATACATTCTTTTCAAATTAACCTACAATTTCAATTTAATTAACAAACATTTCTCTTAAAATTCACATGAAAAAATAAAGGGGTATGAAAACCTAAGACAATTTTTAGAAATGAAAACAAAGAGGGGATTTTACACCTCAAAGTACAAAAAAATGTTAAACCAACCAAATCAAAAGACAGATAGCAAAGATACGGGTTTCATGTATCAAAACTCAAAACTTCCATATGGTTAAAGAAACTATAACCAATATTAAAGATCAAGAAAAGGCCGGGCACGGTGGCTGACGCCTCTAATCCCAGCACTTTGGGAGGCCGAGGCCAGCGGATCACGAGGTCAGGAAATGGAGACCATCCTGGTTAACACGGTGAAACCCCGTCTCTACAAAAAATACAAAAAAATTAGCTGGGCGTGGTGGCGGGCGCCTGTAGTCCCAGCTACTCGGGAGGCTGAGGCAGGAGAATGGCGTGAACCCGGGAGGCAGAGCTTGCAGTGAGCCGAGATCGTGCCACTGCACTCCAGCCTGGGCGACAGAGCAAGACTCCGTCTCAAAACAAATAAATAAATAAAAAATAAAGATCAAGAAAAGACAAATAAAAATAACCCAGAACATAATTGGAATTCTTGGAAATCAATAATTAAAATACATTAATCTAATGGTGAAAATAGGGTAAAATAGGAAAAGACAATTGGCAGAAGAGGAAACACTAATGGAAAGTAAATATTCAAAAAGTTGCTTAATGTCAACAATAGTCAAGGAATTGCTGACTGAAAACATGAGATACCGTTTTCTACCCACCAAGTCAAATATTTAAGTCTGACAGTGTAAAATGTTAGTGACGATATGAGGAAAAGGAATTCTCACAAACTGCACGTGGGAACAGAAACAGGTACAGCCTCTTCAGAGGGCAATTAAGCAGAATCAAATACTGCTGTGAATACTCATAACCTGGAACCCCTGCTATTTAATTTCCAGGTATATAACCTCTTTTTCTAAGCCCCACCCCAGAAAAGCTCGAACATGTGCACAAGGAGACATATTCAATATGTTTATTGCAGCATTTTTAATAGCAAAAGAACAAAAAAGAAAAAAAATGGGGGAAATTTTTGTAAGCATAAAAATGAAAAAACTGCAGCATTTTTATGATGAAATATTACATAGGAATGAAAACGAATGAGCTAATTTGTATATATACAAACATGGATTGATCTTAATGATGGATTATAAAAAGCTAATACAAAATATGTATGATATATACATACACACCCACATACATAAAGCACAATATAGATTATACACGAGTATGTATTTTGGAATAGTAACATCATAGAACTTACTCCAAGATCAGAATTATGGGTGGTTTAGCTAAATCTATCATGTTTTATTTAAGAAAAAAAATACTTAAAGCAAATTATGACAAAATATTAACATTTGCCAATTCTAGATGGAGAAAAAGTAGATGATTGTATATTATTCTTTATCCTTTTTTAATGTTTTAAAGCTTTATAAAAATTAGTGTTTGCATAACAGGCAGCAGAATTATTGGTAGTTAAAAATAACTGAAGAAATCTTGGTTGCTAGCTAATACTTTCACAAGTCCTAAGTCATTTGGTTGGAGAATCTGGCTTTGCTTGATAAATATAGCTTTGAGATATCCAGATTTTATTTTTTATGGAAAAGGTATATCAGAATCACTTAAGCCTAAAAAAAGAAACTTTTTGTTTGTTTATCTTAAATAACTCCCATTTGATGTATTTGTTGGTAACACATACTTGAAAGCATTATTTTGGTCCCTATTACCAGTCAGTGAAGTTTTCCCCAGGAACATTTTGAAGCAAAAACCAGATACAAGGCCATACTCTAATGGCATCATTAAATTGTTCAGTGCTTGGTTTGGTACTTACAGTAATACTTAAAGCATTCCCCCAAGGCCCATCAAAATAGAGCTGAGATATTATGTTCATTCGAACAAATGTCTTGCAATTTATACCTAATGAAATCTTTCTCTAACATTGTTTCCTTCACTCCTCCCTCGTTAATCAATTAAAAGGGAGTAGAGTTAAGATACCAAGTGTAACATAATGTGAAAAAGTTTCCCAGCATTTCATAACTGGGGAGTAAGCAAATAACACATGGTTTTTTAAAATGTGTGCAATATATCAAAAGTGGAGAGAAGAAATTAATGTGAACCTGGGGGAAATAATACTGCTAATATTGTTCAGTAGCAGATCTTGGATATGTTTTTTCTCTTTGATTTTGAGATTATTGGATACTTTTATGGACATTGCCAGTAAAATAATTCTCATTTTATTACTATCCATATCCTGTGGTTTTATTTCCTAATAAAAAGATGTGTAGTGTTAGCATTGTCCTGAAATGTAATTGATTTCTGAGAGGTATAATTTGCTACCTGGGAAATAGCCTTTTGAATTTCTATAAAATAGTGCATGGATGAATGAGATGCTGAGAAAGACTGCAGAGCCAACAAGTAATAATGGAGATAAAAATTATTTTTCATTATTTTAGTATTGGATAGTTTTGAGTTTAATTTACTGAGTTTTTATAAGCTTTTACTGAAATTACATATTTCAATAAAAACCTTCAAAAATCAGTTTGATGTCATGAAATACTTTCATTCCTCAAATCATTATGCTATCAGTAGTTTTTAATTGAGCTTTTTTCCTAGGAAATGTAGCCAAATATATGTGGAATGAAATCAGAGATTACAGAAAATGTAATTGAGCAGTTCTTCCACACATGAGAGTTCCTGACCTGTGTAGGGGCTTGCCACCAGAATCACCTGCTGTAACCACCCCCAGGGAACTTAAATATTTACTAAAGGACAAATCCTAAGCATTTTGGGAAGCACATAAAGAGCTTAACTGGGCAGAAAAGGTGTTATCTCCTATTGCAGCCCTCCTGACCACCTCCAGGGAAAAGCAAGATGCTCCCAGGCTCCTCTCCCAAACCCCGCCCACAAATCACAGGTCTCTCAGCAGCCCCAGCCTTCAAATGGTTTCATCCACCAGGCAAGAAACTACTCTCTCTTTGGATTTCACTTCTGTGAATCACAGTTTGGAAGGTATCCCCAGGGACAGGGAGCACTTTGTGTTTTCACTTTCTCCAGGACCCTCCCTGCACATCTGTTGAATTCTTCCAAACAGTTGTGTTGCATATTTTCTCCAGTGACACAGTTCTCACTACTTTATGGTCAGAAATGAAGTGTCTTCTCCTCCCGTCATACCCATATAGCTCTTATTTTCTCTTTCTTTTTTGTTATCTCTGCTTCTCCCATACTAGGGGGCCTGAGCTACCTGAGGACTGGATTTATGTATTTGCTTTTGTGAACAGACCTAGGACCTGGGGAAATGTATATTGAATGAAAATAAAGGGACCACAAATTTGAATATAATTGATAATCCAGCATCCTTCCAACCCTATGTTTTTAGTATTTCTTCTGAACAAAGATGACTCCATTTGAGGTCTCTCTTCAGAATAAGAATACAAGCATCAAAGATTACACTTACCATATTACAGATCCATTAACCCTTATCCAAAATTCAGAAAACCACTAAACCCCCAAAAGTTTTTGTAAATTTGTGTCAGAACTGATCTGGTAGCAAAGCTAGATGTGAACTGGTGTGAATGGTCTTTTGTTTCTCAATGCCCTTCCCAGCTACATGCACCAGTATTTATTATTGGCTTTTTATCTTAGAAATTTGGGTTTAATTATATTACAACAAAAAGAGTTAAATATTGGGCAACATTGAAAATAAATAAAAACATTTGT
This sequence comes from Homo sapiens, assembly GCF_000001405.40. Classification (NCBI taxonomy): domain Eukaryota; kingdom Metazoa; phylum Chordata; class Mammalia; order Primates; family Hominidae; genus Homo; species Homo sapiens. Next base: position 144,940,495 of record NC_000007.14, on the reverse strand, counting down.
CATTATCCATATTGTAGAAAATGGAATTAATGGGTGACTGAAAAGCACTTTTTTTTTTTTTTTTTTTTTTTTTAAACAGAGGCTCACTCTGTCGCCCAGACTGGAGCGCAGTGGCACAATCTCGGCTCACTGCAACCTCTGCCTCCTGGGTTCAAGCAATGCTCGTACCTCAGCTTCCCGAGTACTGGGATTACAGGTGCGTACCACTACACCTAACTTTTTGTATTTTTTGGTAGAGACGGTGTTTCACTATGTTGGCCAGGCTGGTCTCGTACTCCTGGCCTCAAGTGATCTCCCCTCCTCAGCCTCCCAAAGTGCTGGGATTATAGGCATAGGACGCTGTGCCTGGCCTGAAAATCATCTTAAACTAAAAAAATATATAGTATGGGAGCTACAATTATATATGATTCAAAGAAAAAAAAAGACAGGAAGAGAGCTATGGATTTTTTTTAGTGTGTAACACTAGGAAGCTAAATTGTAATGCTATCATAATGTTCTGGCTACTTTGAGGAGGAGTGTAGAGAAGAATGGCAAAAGAGTTTGATATATTTGCCCACATGAAAACTGATTCTTTTATCCCCTACCATTTTTATTTGTGCCATTAACTGTGTCTAATAATATCAAAGTAACATCACAGTGAGTAGAGCATTCTAGAACATTTTTCTGCATCCTATTCGAGGTAAGGAGGCTATTTGATTTTTCACTTATTTTTATATAATTTTGTTTGTATGAATGCAGCCACCAAAGGGACTTTTGTTTTTGTCTTCTTGAATATAAAACCAACTTAATGAACCCTGTCTTGATCTAAATTGCCATTTGGAAATCTAGAAACTATTGATTTATTTCTTGATTTCCATAATATAAATACAACTCTGGAAAATGTGCCTAATTTCACGGATTGTTTTCTAAGTATCTGAAGTCATTCCTTTTACATTTAGTGATTTAATAAAAATATGTAAATCACATTCCTTTTTCCCTAATAAAATGCTTAAGAACCATAAAAATTAAATTCTCAAACATAAGACTTTTGTCAATGGTTTAGATATAATTCCCAATAATTTTTTTCAAAAACTTCAGTGCTTTCTCCATTCACTAAAAAAAATAGATTATAAAAGCTGTTGAGAAAACATGAAATGATCTTATCCTTAATAATCATTAAGGTATACAGATCTCAACAGTGAGGTATATCACTTTATCTTACTAAATTAGCAAAAGAAATTTTCATTTTAACTTTAACCTTGTTAAAGGTGTGGTAAAATATATTCTTTAACATTGCAGGTTTTCTTGGAAAGCAACAGAACAACAGACATTTAGTCATAAAAATATTCATATATCAACTATTTAATGATGAAAAGTATAGCCTCATATAAGGTTAGTTTATAATATGAAATAAAGACAACAATAATAAATATTATGTCCACTATAATTGCAAACGTAAGTAAAAGGAGAAGACCTTTCTCTCACACAGAGATTTGAGAGAAAGAGCTGTGCCTTTAGAGAGCAACCAAAATATTGCCTGTGAATTTGCTCTGCATTTTTTTTTTTTTTTTTTTGAGATGTTGTCTCGCTGTCTCCCCTAGACTGGAGTGCAGTGGCACAATCTCGGCTCACTACAAGCTCCACCTCCCAGGTTCATGCCATTCTCCTGCCTCAGCCTCCCCTGTAGCTGGGACTACAGGCGCCCACCACCACGCCCGGCTATTTTTTTGTATTTTTAGTAGAGACAGGGTTTCATCCGTCTTAGCCAGGATGGTCTCGATCTCCTGACCTCAGGATCCACCCGCCTCGGCCTCCCAAAGTGCTGGGACTACAGGCGTGAGCCACCGTGCCTGGCTGACAAGATATTTTTTAAAACTGCTTGAATGCTTCAGAAAACTAGTATAGTGGATATCCTGGTTCACTTACTCCCTATCTGCCCCAATGAAGTACCCATTGTCCCAGCTCCTGAGAGTGTTGGCAGCCTTCCACTTTCAACTGTCATTCTCAAAGACTTGTTATCAGCTTAAGAAAGTCAGCTAATCCCATGTTATGCCTCCTTACTGGGGAAGTCCTCATCCAGTGACCGAATGATGATGGAGCAAAAAGAACCAGCATCCTCACCCCAGCATGGTTCAACTCTAAAGGGCTATCCTAGCAGCAAAGCATCATGGAAGGATTGGCTGGTGGCCTTTGTTGCAGCTGCACTGTAGTTCAAATCCTCCTTCCACTCAGTGATAGCTCCTTCACCCCCCCTGTAGAGACTGAACCCTAGATCACTCACCTGTAAATTCTCTGCCTGCACATCTCAATGTTTGCTTCACAGTAATGGTTAGATCCAGGCACCAGGTGGCCATGTAATTGTTAACATTTTCACTGATGATGAACTGAGACAGAATACCAGTAGGGGAAAAAACCCTGGTAGTTACAATGTATCAAACACTGAGACATACAGGGAAAAATGATATTAATAATTATAAAGATTGTGGGATGGCAGTGACTAGGGGCTAGTTTGGAGAAAGACAATGAAAGGATGAGGGCAATTGATTGCCAATTTAAGAAGTGTAAAAGGCCAGGCACAGTGGCTCACACCTGTAATCCCAGCACTTTGGGAGGCTGAGGCGGGTGGACTGCCTGAGGTCAGGAGTTCAAGACCAGTCTGCCCAACATGGTGAAACTTCATCTCTACTAAAAGGACAAAAAATTAGCCAGGCATGGTGGCATGTGCCTATAATCTCAGCTACTTGGGAGGCTGAAGCAGGGGTATCTCTTGAACCAGGGAGGTGGAGGTTGCAGTGAGCCTAAAGCCCACCACTGCACTCCAGCCTGGGAAACAGAGTGAGACTCCAGAACGAAAGGAAAGGAAGGAAGGGGAAGGGGAAAGGGAAAGGGAAAGGGAAGGGGAAGCAGAAAGGGGAAGGGGAAGCGGAAAGAGAAGGGGAAGGGGAAGGAGAAAGGGAAGGGGAAGGGGGAAGGGGAAGGGGGAAGGGGAAGGGGAAAGGGAAGGGGAAGGGGAAAGGGAAGGGGAAGGAGAAGGGAAAGGAGAAAGGGAAGGAGAAAGGGAAGGAGAAAGGGAAGGGTAAGGAGAAGGGGAAGGGGAAGGGAAGAGGACGGAAAGGGAAAAAGAAAGAAGTGTAAAAGCCAGAGGCCCTTCTTGTCAGCATTTTAAAACTTTTCTGCAGCCAGAGAGCAGAAAAAGTTAAAGAACAGGTCCAAGACTTAATTATAAGAATAGCAGAGCTCCAGAGAGAATGAATTATAAAACTGTACAAATCAGCTATGCCTATTGGGTCCCTATGATTGGGAATATATGGGACCATGAGCCTCTTCTTCAAGACAAGAGGGATCAGGAGATTTAAGTTTTCAAGCATATCATCCCAGACATCCTAACTCCATGTCTCAATGTAGATTCCTGGGACTCTCAAGCAAGGTCATGCCATCTGCAGGAGATTCCTAGGTAGATCAATGTAGATCTATGGGTCCCGAAAAAGGTCATGCTTTTTTGGGGAAAAAAATATTCTAATAGAGACAGAACAGATGATTATGCATGCATGGACATCAAGGGCCATGCAGCCAAAACTGCCCGTCATAAGTTGAGTTATCTCAGACCCACCAAAGGCAGGAGGACCCAGCAGCAATCTATGGTAAAACTTAAGTAGTTAATTTGGGATTGGGCTTGACCAGGGCCAGAGGGCACAAGTAAGAACATGATGGCATCCACAGTTAGTGCACTAACTCCTCTCCTTCAGCTCACACCTAGGATATATGTGTAGTCCCTTTCTACCAACTGATCGAGGAAGAAAAATGCTAAACTTACATTACAGATGGGTTGTCTTGGCATGGAAAAGCAAACAAGATGGCCCTGAAAGAAATCAGTGAAGGTGAAACTTCCCAGTGGGCAAAACCTTGGACAGTTTGCCTAGTCACTCAATCTGTGTGGAAAGAGAAGTCACTGAAGGTTAGAATACATACAAATGTATGAATAATGGCAATTTGGCTGGTTGCCAAGGGACCTAGAAGGGGAAAAATTGTAAGACTGGAGACAAAGGGTATGAGGAAGAGGAATGTGGGTGGATCTATGGGAGTTTTATGAGGTGTGACAGTCATTGTAGCATATGTTGTGATGGCCTTGAGATGTGTCAACGTAGGTAGGCTAAACTGCATTACCCAAAAAATTTCCTTTCTAGTTTCCAGTTAGATTTTGTCAAGAGAGTGGGAAGACAGAAGGGAGGGAGGAGTCATTTCATAGTTGTTGTTCTTCCATTTATTCAGTTGAACACTATTCCAAGTGCTGCTATAATGAAAGCATCCAGATGTAATCAAAGTCCCAACGTAGCTAATTTTGTGTTAATCAAAAGAGAATATCCTGGATAGACTGGATTTAATGATGTGGAAGCCACTTAAAGAGACTGAGCCCTCCCTGAGGTTCAGAGACCCTAAGCAGCAGAGGAGAGAGAAAAAAAAAAACATAAGGTATCTCTACATTCTGAGATTTCGACATTCACCTCATTTTTGCCAATATGCCAATTCATTTCATTGGCCTAAAGCAACACTTGGGCCTACTTGGCTCTCTTCAGTTTGGAACTTTCTTCAGTTTTCTTGACTCATATGCCAGATGTGTGTATGTATTAGTCCCTTCACACACTGCTATAAAGAACAGCTCAACACTGGGTAATTTAGAAAGGAATGGGGTTTAACTGACTCACAGTTCAGCATGGCTGGGGAAGCCTCAGGAACCTTACAATCATGGCAGAAGGCAAAGGGGAAGCAAGGCACCCTCTTCACAGGGTGGCAGGAGGGAGAATGATCGCAGGAGGAACTACCAAACACAGAAAACCATCAGATCCCATGAGAACTCACCCCCTATCACGAGAACAGCATGGAGGTAACCAGCCCATGATTCAATTATCTCCCCAGGTCTCTCCCTTGACATATGGGGATTATAGGAATTATAATTCAAGATGAGACTTTGGGTGAGGACACAGCCAAGCCATATCAGTGTGTAAAGTTATATGATAAAAAACTTTGGCTTCAGTAGTATACCCTCATAACTAAGGTCAGAGGTAACAAGAACGGACAGGGATGTCAGACTGTCCTTGTGAAGTTCTAACTGATGCTCCTGGGTTTCCAGCCTGCTCACAGTCTTCCATTGCTGGCTGGCTGGCTGTGGTTTTGGGGCTTCAGCATCAAATGTGGAGATAACTACATGTGTGGATGTGTGGAGACTGCATAGCCAGCCTTCACGTTGTGGAAGCCAATTCCCTGTCATAAATCATGGGGGCACATGGGGCTAAGATTCTAGAGATAAAGGAAGACCACAGAGATAAATCTGTATTCAGCTTTGCTTTCTCCCTTGAGAATTTGTTGATTTCAATCAGTGGCAGAGAGACTCAAAACATAAGAACAAAGCACAAACAGGCTAAAAGGCTGAGCAGAGTTTTTGGCAGTTTCATAGAACTTAGGGCTTTCTTAGAGCTGACCTTAGAGCTGGTCTTTGGAGAGAGGCCCTGGTAAATACCACCAGCTGTCTGTTGTTAGCACAAAGAACTACACCTCAGGAAGAGGAGTGTACTGGTGATAAACCAGCTTCAAAGACTAAACACCAGGTTTGACATAGTTCAATTTCTGAATAGATTTATGTGATCTGCCCTAAGCCTAACTGCCTGCAGAAGCAGAAGGAAATTTTTCCTAAACCAAGACAAGGCAATGAGCCATACATTATCTCCAAAACTAAAAAAACAAACAACAAACAAAAATGAGACATTTAAATTTTAAAACTACAACTGAGAAAACCAAGAGAAAAAACAGAAAATAAAAACAGGTGGTGTAGAAGTGGCATTACCAGGTGGAGCTATTACAATGCTGATGATATGTACAATATATGTAATGACAAGATAGAAAACAATGGCCAAGAATAAAGCAGATATTCTAAAACTGAAAAAATAACTGCAAATAGAATCCAGTGGATAGACAATCTTCCCGATACATTAGCAACAGCTGTAGAAGATTATTGAACTAGAAAATACATCAGAGGAAAATATTCACAGTGAAGTACAGAGAGGCAAAAAGATAACAAAAAAAAAAAAAAAAACCAGGCTTGGCATGGTGGCTTACGTCTATAATCCAAGCACTTTAAAAGGCCAAGGTGTGAGAAATGCTTGAGCCCAGGAATTTGAGACCAGCCTGGGCAACATGGCAGGACCCCCATCTTTATTTAATTTTTAAAAATTAAAAAAATTGTTTTAAAGATTAAAAATGCAGAAAACAGGCATAAGGTACAAGTAAGACAGGATGAAAAGTGTAATTATAGTTCCAGAAGGAGAAAAGAGAGAGAATAGAACAGAATAGTATTTGGGATCAGAGTCTAGAGCTTTTTCAAAAATTTCCAAAGCAAGATATCAATCCACATGCCAACGAGACATCTGTACCCCCATATTCACTGCAGCATTATTCACAATAGCCAACATATAGAAACAACCTAATGTCTATCAACAGATGAATGGATAAAGAAAACATAGCATACATATATATGTGTGTGTGTATATACATATATAGTATATATGTGTGTGTGTATATTATATACATATACAATGAAATATTATTCAGCCTTATTTATAAGAAGAAAGAAAAAAATCCTGCCACATGCAACATCTGGAGGTGATTATGCAAAGTGAAATTAACCAATCACAGAAACACAAATAGTGTGTGATTCCATTTGTATGAAGTATCTAAAATAGTCAAATTCATAGAGGCAGAGAGTAGAATGGTGGCTGCCAGGGGATAGAAAAATGGGAGGTTGTTCAATGGGTATAAAGTGTCAGTTGCGAAAGAGGAATAAGCTCTACATCAAGTGCACAACATTGTGCCTATAGTTAATATTCTAGGACGGGCGTGGTGGCTCATGCCTGTAATCCCAGCATTTTGGGAGGCCAAGGTGGGTGGATCATGAGGTCAGGAGTTCGAGACCAGCCTGGCCAACATTGTGAAACCCCGTCTCTTATTAAAAATACAAAAATTAGCCGGGTGTGGTGGCACAGGCCTGTAATCCCAGCTACATGGAAGGCTCTGGCAGGAGAATCGCTTGAAACTGAAAGGCAGAGGTTGCAGTGAGCCGAGATCGTACCATTGCACTCCAGCCTGGGCAAGAGTGAAACTTCATCTCCAAAAAAAAAAAATCTATTGTGCACTTAGAATTTTGTTAGGAGGGTAGATCTCATATTAAGTGTTCTTACCACAACTGTGTGTGCGTGTATTTATTTATTTATATTCCACAAGTTCAAGATATACAATGAACCTCAAGCAGGAATAACACCAAAAAAAATAATCAATCTAAGTTCATTACATTAAAACTAAGACAAAATCTTAAAAGCAAGCAGAGAGAAAAAGATGCCTTATCTTCAGTGGAGAAGTAATAGGACTTCAGATGATTTCTTAATACAAACCATGAAAGTCAAAAGGCAATGAAAATTATCTTTAAAATACTGAAGGAAAATAACTGCCAAATTAAAATGGAATAGTCAAAGCATCCTTTAGAAATAAATGCAAAATGAAATTATTTCGAACAAACAAAACTGAAAGAATTTCTCTGTAGCAGAACACCATGAAAGGAAATATTAAAGGATTCTTCAGGAAGAAGGAAAATGATCACAGTTGGAAGCTCAGAGATACGGGAAGGAAGGAACAGCAACATATGGGTAAATATGTGGATAAATATAAATGAATATTAACTTATTCAACAATGAGAATGTCTGGGTTTGAAATATAGACAGAAGATAGAACTTGAAAGCACTAACAAAAAGGGAGCCGTCATAGCTACAGTCTCAGATGAAGGAGGCTTCAAAGCAAGAAGTATTAGAAATTAAGGGTTACACTTTCTAAGGATAAAAGGGTCAATTTACCACAATTAAATATTTAGATTTGTATCTTCCTAATAACATGGCCTCAAAACATATGAAGCAAAACTTGGCAGAACTAAAAGGAGAATAGACAAATCCACATTCATATTGGGAGACTATCACACTTGTCTCAGTAATTTATAGAATAACACACCAACAAAAATAAAGATATAAGCTACTTGACCTAATTGGCATACCTACAACGTCTGAGCTGCAAACTGTGCACTTTCCAGAAATACAAGGAAAATTTACCAAAAGTAGATCACATATTGTCAATCTATTTCATAAAGATGAAAATATCTTTTTAAAAAATTGCGAATCAAATCCAACAATATATAAAAAGGAAAGTACATCAAAATGATGATGGTTTTATTCCAGCAATTTAAGCAATGCAAAGTCAGTTTAATAATTAAAAATTCATCAATAATTTGCCACATTAACACAATAAAGTAAAAGACATAATCAGCTCAATAAGTGCAAAATTACTGATAGAATCTCATACTAATTTATAGTTTTTAAAAATTTATAACCCTCTAGAAAGAGTTATCAGATAAAGAATATACGATTCCTATAACAGAAATCATATTAAGAGTAAAATATTGAAAGATGTCCCCTTGAAATTGGGAGCAATATAAGGATTCTTGGAAATAAATTTAAACTATTATTTCTCCCTTGACTGAAGCAGTGAGATAAACTAAAAAGAATAAAAATAAATCAACTGTTACTGTCAGACCACATTATACAATAGAAAAACTAAGTATCTCTATATAAACCATAATAATTAATGTTACTCTAACTGTGTTATAAATGTAACAAGCCATTGGATTGAAAGGCCAAGTAAAAAATCAATTGTAATTATTTGAAAAAACAGGAAATTAAGTTTTTAAAATATCTTAAAGGTGAAAATGAAGATTATGTGCCATGTTCTGGAGTTGAAACATTCAATTTGCCGTGATACCAATTCTCCCAAGATTGGCCCATATTTCAATGCATTCTAGCAAAATATCTCACCATGTATTTTATGTATTTATTAATATCCACTTATTACAAAAGATACAGTACTTATAGAAGAATGACAAGTAGACCAATAGAACAAAATAGAGAGTCCAAAAGAGACCTGCAGATATATAAAATTTATGATAAAGATGGCATTACAAAGCAAACAGTGAAGAATGGATATTTCTTTTGAATATCCTTTAATTGCCAGGTCAATTAGACATCTATATGAGTAAAAAAAAAGACAAATGAATCTTGACCTCTAACACAAAAATTATTTCCAGGTGATCTGTAGATCACCATATTAAAGGAAATATTAAAGCTTCTAAATAACATGTGGGACTACCTTCATGACCTTAAGACAGGGCAATATTTTTTTAAAAGCACTAATCATAAAGGAAGATTAAAAAATGATACTACATTAAAACTGGGAGCTTCAGCTAGCCATAAACTGAAAGAAAAACAAGCCAGTGTGGAAAAAGGTATTTGTGATACTTACAACTTCAAAAGAGCTCGTAGTCAAGGCTCATGCGTGTATAAAGAATATATAAAGAATGCCTATAATTTCAAGGCACAAGTGGGTAAGAAGAAGAAATTCAATAGGAAAGTCAGCAAAAATCCTAAATTGCACTATGAAAAATGGGAAAATCCAAGTACCAAGAAACATATTTAAAAAGTCATCAACTTATCGGTCATCTGAAAAAACACAAATCAAAGCCACAAAGAGAGAAGTTAACAGAACCACCAGAATAGTTACCATTAAAAATGACTGGCAACAGTGAGCGTTGTTGAGCACATCTGATCTCTCAAAAACTGCTGCTGAGGGTGGAAATTGAGACGACTACTTCGAAAACTGGTTTGGCACAGGAACAGAAAAACCAAATGCCTCATGTTCTCACTTCTAAGTAGGAGCTAAACATTGGGTACTCATGGATATACAGATGGCAACAATATAGACACTGGAGATACTAGAGAAGGAAGCAAGGGAGGGAGATACGGGCTGAAAAACTATTGATTACTCTGCTTACTACCTGGGTGATGGGATCAGTTGTACCCCAAACCTCATCATCCTGCAATACACCCACGTACAAACCTACACGTGTACCCCCGAACCTAAAATATAAGTTACAATTTTTTTATCTTTTTTTTTTTTTGAGATGAAGTCTCACTCTGTCACCCAGGCTAGAGCTCAATGGCATGGTCTTGGCTCACTGCAACCCCCGCCTCCCAGATTCAAGCAATTCTCCCGCCTCAGCCTCCGGAGTAGCTGGGACTACAGGCACGTGCCACCACAGCCGGCTAATTTTTGTATTTTTAGTAGAGATAGGGTTTCACTACATTGGCCAGGCTGGTCTCGAACTCCTAACCTCGTGATCCGCCTGCCTCAACCTCCTAAAGTGCTGGGATTACAGGCATGAGCCACCGCGCCCGGCTGAAATTATTTTTTAAAAGAAAGTTTGGAACTATTTGCTAAGGTTAAGTATATACATACCTTAAGATGCAGCAATTTAAGTCCTAGTTAGTGGGTTTTAATATTCATTTTTATTAATTTTACCCTGAATGCATACATGAAGGGTTCTGGGTCAGAAATAGATTTCTTAATTGTTATCTCACCATAAATAATGCGTGTGGTCTACTCTGTCTGCCTTACCCCTGGCCTTTCACCTGGGATCCTGCAATGAAGCCATGGAAATTCTTCATACACAGTGGCAAGGTTCTCCATAAACTAGGGATAAGAGAGAAATAATTTTTCTCTCTCCTTCTGAAAGTGTCTCCTCTGGATTTCAGCTCTTTAGTATGTAAATAAAACCTCTCCAGGAGCCCAATGGCCAGAGAGTCTTGCTTTTAGGAGGCTTGAGGAGGGTCTCATTCCTCCCTGAAATGCAAATGTCTAAATGGATAAGGCTACAGATTTTTCAGGTGCAAAGCTAACCTAGATGCCTATCCCTTTAGCTTTAGGGGAGATAAGAGATGTTTTATCATCTTTGGGATCAGAGCAATTAACTCCTTCGTTAGGGAAATTTATGGCTACAGATCTAATCTTCATAGTATGTGAAGGTGTTTCTAAGAAATGTGGAAGCAAAATTCTCTAACTTTATAGTGTACAGTCATGCATCATTTAACCATGAGTACACATTCTGAGAAATGCATCATTAGACTATTTTGTCCTTATGCGAACATCATACGTGTACTCACACAAACCTAGATGGTACAGACCACTACACACCTAGGCTAGATGGTATAGCCTATTGCTCCTAAGCTGCAAACCTACTGTAGACTTCAAAACTACTGTACATTTACACTACTATAAATTTATTTTTTAAATTTTCTTTCTTCAATAATAAATTAACCTTAACTTACTGAAACATTTTTACTGCATAAACTTTTAACTTTTTTTTAAAAAGTTTGGCCTATTTGTGGTAACACTTAGAACACACATTACATAGCTGTACAAAATTATTTTCTTCCTTTATATCCTCATTCTATAAACTTTTTTCTATTTTAAATTTTTCTTATTTTTTACTCTTAAAACTTTTTTGTTAAAAACCAAGGCGCACACACACACATATTACCCAAAGCTTACAGAGGGTCAAGATTATCCATGTCACTGTGTCCCCCACCTCCACATCGTGTCCCATGAAGGTCTTCAGGAGCAGTAACATGCATGGAGCTGCCATCTCCTAGGATAACAATGCCTTCTTCTGGAATCCCTCCCAAAGGACCCACCTGAGACTGTTGTACAGTTAACTTTTTGTTTTTATAAGTAGAAGGAGTACACTCTAAAATACAATAAGAAGTAAAGTACAGGCCAGGCGCGTTGGGTCACACCTGTAATCTCAGCACTTTGGGACTCTGAGGCAAGCCAATGGCTTGAGTCTAGGAGTTTGAGATCAGCCTAGACAACATGGCAAAACTTCATCACTACAAAAAATCACAGCTACTCAGGAGGCTGAGGTGGGAGGACCACGTGAGCCCTGGAAGCAGAGGTTGTGGTGAGTCAATAGCATATCACAGCACTCCAGCCTGGGCAACAGAGCAAGACTGTCTCAAAAAAATAATAATAATAACAACAAAATTAAAAATAAAAGAAGTAAATACATAAACCAGTAATAGTCATTTATTATTATCAAGTATTGTATATAACACATAACTGTATGTGCCATATGTTTATATGACCAGCAGCACAGATTTGTTTCCACCAGCATCACAACAAACACGAGTAATGAATGCATTGTGCTATGACCTTACAATGGCTAAGATGTCACTGGGCTATAGGAACTTTTCAGCTCCATTATAATCTCATGGGACCATCATCATATATGCGGCTTGTCATTGAGCAAAACATTGATTAAGCGGCACGTGACTATATTTGTTTCTGTGGCTAGGCCTTTTTTTTTTTTTTTTTTTTTTTTGAGACAGAGTCTCACTCTGTCGCCCAGGCTGGAGTGCAGTGGAGTGATTTCGGCTCCCTGACACCTCCGCCTCCCGGGTTCAAGCAATTCTCCTGCCTTAGCCTCCTGAGTAGCTGGGACTACAGGTCGATGCCACCATGCCCAGCTGGTCGATGCCACCATGCCCAGCTAATTTTTGATTTTTAGTAGAGACAGTGTTTCACCATGTTGGCCAGGATGGTCTCGATCTCTTGACCTCATGATCCACCTGCCTCAGCTTTCCAAAGTGTTGGGATTACAGGTGTGGGCCACTGCACCCATCCAGAACTTTACGGGAACAATGAAAATTTCAGAAATGTTTTATTTTGCCAAGTTATATATCCAACAGAAATGTGAATACACATATACTAAAGACATGTTCAAGAATGTTCACCGCAGCATTATTCTTAAGGGCCCAAAACTGGAAACAAACTAAATGTCTATCAACAGTAGAATGGACAATTATCTATTACAGTATATTGATACAATGGAATTCAATATAGAAATAAAAATGAAGGCAGCTCCACTACATGCAACAATGTGGATGATTCTCACAAGCATAGCTTTAAGCAAAGGTAGCCAGGCATAAAAAAGACACACTCTACGATTCCACTGAAATGAAATTCAAAAATAGGCAAAACTAATCTATGATGTTAGACGTCAGGATAATGCTTACCTTTGACAAGGAAAATGGGGACAATTGGCAGGAAGAGGCATAGCCAGGGTTTCTGAATAACACTCTTTGTCTTGATCTGGATAGTGGTTACATGGGTGGGTTTATTTTGTAAATTTGATTGACATGTGTACTTTTCTGTACGTAACTTCATATTCAAAATTTTGATTATAAAAAAAGGAGGCAGGAAGTTATCATAAGGGCTCAACAGTTCTCACAGAATTCAAGGTCAGCAAAGTACCCTGGATTTGGAAATGCTAAAACCGAAAATAGAAAATAGCTTAACTGATATGGTTTGGCTCAGTGTCCCCACCCAAATCTCACCTTGAATTGTAATAATCCCCACATGCCATGGGAGGGACCCGTGGGAGATAATTGAATCATGGGGGTGGGTTTTTCCCATGCTGTCCTTGGGACAGTGAATAAGTCTCCCGAAATCTGATGGTTTTATAAAAGAGCAGCTCCCCCTGCACACACCCTCTTGCCTGCTGCCGTGTAAGACGTATCTTGCTTCCCCTTCACCTTCCCCCACAATTATGAGGCCTCCCAGCCACGTGGAACTGTGAGTCCATTAAACCTCTTTCCTTTCGAAATTACCCAGTCTTGGGTATGTGTTTATTAGCAGCATGAGAACAAACTAATACAATAACTCAAGTATTTGTTTTTCTCTGCCTCTCTCCTCTGCTTCCCTCTTCCACTTCATTATTTTCTCTCAAGTCTGCTTGACAGAGTAAGACAGATGAAGTAGTAAGACTAGTTAAGAGTGCAGTTAATACTGTTTATTCCTAAAGGGATTTTCTTTTTTTTTTTTTTTTTTTTTTTTTGAGACAGAGCCTGGCTCTCCCCCAGGCTGGAGTGAAGTGGTACAACCTCGGCTCACTGCAAGCTCCGCCTCCCAGGTTCACGCCATTCTCCTGCCTCAGCCTCCCAAGTAGCTGGGACTATAGGCGCCCGCCACCACGCCCGGCTAATTTTTTGTATTTTTTAGTAGAGACGGGGTTTCACTGTGTTAGCCAGGATGGTCTCCATCTCCTGACCTCGTGATCCGCCCACCTCAGCCTCCCAAAGTGCTGAGATTACAGGCGTGAGCCACCGTGCCCAGCCTGAAGGATTTTCTTAATGGAGAGTACCTAGGATTTGAGATTTCTGTATTATTCCCAATAGGAATTAGAAAAGAGTGGATATTTTTAGCCCATATGCCGGTAGGGATGGGCATTTATTCCAATCGGTGTTTCCCCCTCCACACTTCTTATTAAATTTTTGAATATGACCTCTGGCTTAGATTTTTTAAATACGTAAAGGGAAAAAAATATTTCATCTCAAAGCAAATAGACTCCAATTATAAATGTAAACTTTTTACTTTTCTATAATGAAAACAATCTGACCACTGAAAGAATAAAATAAAACAATCTGACAGTTTTCTATGCCAATGGGACTACAGGTGATAGCTAGTAAATTGAGAGATATCTTTAATGTTCCAAAGCAATTTGCTAAAGCCCGAATCATTCCTTCACACACCTGCAAAAGATTCAGAAGCCCATGGGGAAGTAAACATTTATTTCAAAAATAAACTTAAAGGTTTGGAAATAAAAACTGACAAGCTGTTTTCTCATGTAAGATGTGGCTCTATGCCACCAGAGGCACTGTAATCAGAATTTCAAAGAGTAGAAATAACAGGTGACAACTTACTCGGAGACATTCAAACCAAGGGAACTGCAGAACAAGTGTCATTTACATCCATTAAACACCATATCAGCAGAGAGGACTGGAAATAAAGAGACAAGGATCTCAACTCCAGTTGTGCTACTGACTTGATGAATTTTCTCCTCTGTAAAATGCGAATAAGAACCCCTGTTCTAGAAAACCAAACTCTGCATGTTCTCACTCATAAGTGAGAGCTGAACAATAAGAACACATGGACACAGGAAGGGGAACGTCACACACCGGGGCCTGTTGGGGGATAGAGGGAAAGGGGAGGAAGAGCATTAGGACAAATACCTAATACAGGCGGGGCTTAAAACCTAGATGACAGCTTGATAGGCACAGCAAACCACCATCACACACGTATAATCTATGTAACAAACCTGCACGTTCAGCACATTATCCCAGAACTTAAAGTAAAAAAAATATATAAATTGACAATTTAAAATAAAATAAAAATTTTTAATTGTTAAAAAAAAAAAAAACTCCTGTTCTAGCATGGAAAACAAATGATCAAGGTGAAAATTCTTCCAAAGGAAGTAACTTAGAAATTATGCTTGTAATTATTATTACAATTTTCTTTTCTGTGTGTGTGATGAGTTTTAAGATTTTTTTTTCCATAAGCTATTAGGGTACACAGTGTGGAGATTCCTTAAGGAACTAAAAGTAGAGCCACCATTTGATCCAGCAATCCCATTACTGGGTATCTACCCAGAGGAAAAGAAGTCATTATTTGAAAAGGATACTTGCACACGCATGTTTATTACAATTTTCTGAAGCCCTCTTTTTTGTCTCTCTCTCCTTTTCCTTGTGTATCCTCTTTTCCTTCCCCTTTACATTTTTCCTCCCTTTCTTCGTATCTTTAACTTTTTCCTTTCCTTTCTCCCTTCTCTATCACTTTTGTAACTTTCCACAGTATGTCATTTTAACTGATCAGATAGTACATATATTTGTATTGTATCTTAAATATCAAATAAGTTACTTTTGCTTGTTTGTGATGCAAAATTGATTTAGTTTCAGTGAGTTACTGATTCATAAAAGAAAAATGAACACTTTTCTTTCTCTAGTCTAAAAGAATCATCCTTGGGCTTATTGAAATGAAAGAATCAGTTTTAAGTGAACAATATTTCAGGGTCACAAGGAACCAACCTACCAGTGATTTTCCTTTCAGGGACGTTGAACCAAACACCATCTCATTTCTTTCACTGCCCTGTGTTCTACACTTGGGTGAATATGTATCTAGCATGCCTCCCCATTCTGTCTACTTTCTGAATATTAAATGAGATCCTAGGATCTCTGATCAATGTTAATCAATCAATAAACAGTTTCTTATCATTCATAGTATACATAGTTTATATTAGATCTTTGGAAAACTGCAGTTAGAAAAAATGTAGTTTTTAACTTCAAATATCTTTGCACACCTTTATACTGGAAAAGAGTATATATCTTATAAACAGGGATAGATACATTAGATTTAATTCACTTTATTTTAAAAAATTATCATATAATTATGGGATACACAGTAATGTTATGATATACAATCATGCATTGCTCAATGATGGGGATACATTCTGAGAAATGCACTGTTATGCAATTTCATTGTTGTGTGAACATCACAGAGCATGGTTCCACAAACCTAGATGGTATACCCTACTACGCACCCAGGCTGTATGGTATGTACGGCACCTATGGTGCCTACGCTACAAACCTGTACAGCATGATACTGCACTGAATACTACAGGCAATTGTAACACAATGGTATTTGTGTATTTAAACTTTGAAAAGGTCCAGTAAAAATATAGTATTATAATCTTATGGGACCACCGTTGTTGATGCGATCTATCGTTGTGGTGCATGACTATGTAGCTCCTTGCCAAACATCTACATTTAAATGGTCCAGAGCCACTTCAAACTCATCAAGTCCAAACTCTATTTACTTTTCTGGCTGTTTCTTACCTATAATAATGCATGAGTCCCTTACCTGGTCTGCTCTGATCCATTCTCAGTGCTCAGGACTAGATGATTATTTCTAAATTAAAAATTTACTCTTGACATTTTCTTACTTAAACCATACAAAGTTTTTCCATTGTTCTTAGCAAAAGCCCAACTGTGTTTTTTTTTTTGTTTTTTTTTTTGTTTTTTTTTTACAAGATGTGGATTATCTGGTTATTGCTTACCCTGCAGCTGTCTATTTTGCTCTCCTGATCTCGTTTTACATCCCAGTGATACTGAGTTTTCTCTAATTCTTCAAATCAAATACACACTGTCTTAATTCTGGAAATTAATCTTTGTGTCCCCACTACCTTGAACCCATGCTTCTCCAGCACTTTTTCCTGGATAAGACTTTGCCATTCTCCAAACCTTAAAGGTTTCCATTTCTGAAATGTCAATTCTGACCCCAAAATGCAGGCTCGATATCTATGCTCTGTGCTCCCCTTTGTAGATCTTATTGCACCGAGTTGTCGTTGCCCATTAAACATTTGGTTATCCCCTCTAGATGGTAAGGGCCATAAGGGAATGATCATGTCCATCTTGAACAATGTCCTACCCCAGGTTTTTGGCACATGTAGAATGCAACATATCAGAGGAAAGACAGATCAGAACTGATGAAAATAAGGTGAAAATGAAAGAGGAAAAAAATAAGAAATCAGTTTAAAGAGAGATCGCTGGGTGTGTGTGAACCACAGAAGGAACGCCCATCAAGAGAGAGGGTACCTGATTAAATTTCAGACAGAGCAAATGCATAAAAACTGGCTAGCTGATTCAGAGGTAATGTTTACAAGGGTATATCTAAGTTAGGGGCTGACTTAAGCACTGACAATTTTATGGCTAAGTCTAATTATCTTCTTTCGTTAAGATATTTTTTTGAAGAGCAAAATTACAGTCACCTAAGAGATCATCTAAAGATTTTTTACTAATTTTCCCCTTCTGGATATTTTATTCAGTTCCTTGGCTTATACTCAGCCCTTGGAGGGCTAGAAGCACTCACTACACAGAATTAACACTGTATATTGAGATCACACATACACTATCACGAAAAAATAATCACTATAGAATCCTAATATGTGACCAGTGAATTTAAACAATACAGACTGGTACAGTGTTCTTTCCAGTAAAGATAGCTGCTCAAATAATTTAATAATCCTATCATAACTGGCTGAAACAAATTTACCTACCTAGGCAAATGGAGTAAAATAGAAGTAGAAGTAGGAAAAGAATTTTTTTAAGATTATCAACTTATTAAATAATTATTTGCTATATCTCATTGGATTTGCCTGTGTAACTTTAATCATAAATTCTTAGAGGAATGGTTGAATCTTCCATTCAGTTTTACTGCTATTTGTATTCAGTTGACATTGTAAGTACAGAACTGAACTCTATAAGCTTTGATGAGGCTTACCTACAACATAATTACTTTTTCTATAAACACCACTACATGACTACGTGCTATCCTGAAGAGTAGCATGAAACAGTCATAGAATTTTCTCTAAAATGTAATTGTTAAATTACTGAAATTTGATAATGTTAAATACCCTCACTATATTTCTTTTTTTGATTTGTGTGTATGTATGTGTTTAATTCTGAAGTGCTCAAGATCAATTTCATGTGTTTATATGGATAGACTTTTGGTTAAGTCAATAACTGAGAACTAACCAATGTTCAATAATCAAATGCAAATACATTTTTCAGCATTTAGCCAAAGAAAGCAAACTGCGTGGGGCCCATTGATCACAAAGGATCCAACAAGAGGAGAAGACATGTTATCATTCTATTTCATGGAGGAGAGGGTCCTTCTGAGGATGGGTGAAATGTGGTTCAACACAAGACACTCTGGGAAGAATCCACTCCCAGGATTTTGAGAACAGCAGGACCTACCGCAGAGTTTACTCCATGGGGTCTGCCATTCCTGGGCACACTGAGGGACATGGAGAGGTGTGAGTGAGGACATTTGCCAGACACTGAGGCAGTGGCCTCGAAAGATCCTTCTCTTTTTAGAGAATCTATGGTATAATAGGATGCTTTTGATTGAAAATTTAAAAACAAAACAAAACAAAACAAAACCCAGCTTACACGGTCAAACTACAAAGAGAACTGATTGCCAAAGCGAATTGAAAGTCCCAAGATAATTAGGCTTTAGGCAAGTCTTTTTCAGTGGCTTAAAAAAAAAAAAGGATGTAAACTGGACCCAACTGAAAACTCTCTCAATTTTTTTGTCCTGCCTCCTCAATATGGGTTCCATTTTTGTTAGGTTCCCCTCTGGAGACCCTAAAATCGCTTTTGCATTTTCCTGAGCTACACAGTCCCAGGTTTAAAGTTCAAAAAAGTCTGCTGCATGAAGAATTCAAACAAAAAAAAAAATCTAGATTTTAAATTTTATGGGACCCTTTGGCTTGACTTGACACAAATGCCTCAACCAACCCCTGCAGTCAAGGGAAGGGGACATGTTTTCTTAAGGCAGTTACGTTCTAACTTAGGAGCTGACAGTGGTGTCTGTCTAACCTAAATCACACAGCTAAAACCGTGGGCTATTGAGAAGGAGGAAAAGGCTAGATTCTGAGGAACCATCTAAGAAATCTCTTATTTTATATCACGTTAGTTATAGCAAAAAATGTGCTGAGTACTTAGAATATGCCAGGCACTGCACTAGGTGCTGAGGTTGGAGAAGATCTGGAATGAGAAGTAGGAAATGCACAAGATATAAAGATGGATATGACACAGTTGCTGCTCTCAAGGAGCTTAATGCTCTGTTTGTGGAGCAGACGTGAATTTTTTTTTTTTTTTTTGAGGTGGAGTTTCACTCTTGTTACCCAGGCTGGAGTACAATGCCACAATCCCGGCTGACTGCCACCTCAGCCTCCCAGGTTCAAGTGATTCTCCTGCCTCAGCCTCCCAAGTAGCTGGGATTACAGGCCTCTGACACCACGCCAAGCTAATTTTTGTATTTTTAGTAGAGATGGGATTTCATCATGTTGGCCAGGCTGGTCTTGAACTCCTGACCTCAGGTGATCCGCCCACCTCCCAAAGTGCTGGGATTACAGGCGTGAGCCACCACGCCCAGCCAGCATGTCTCTTTTACAGCCACACTGGATATGACTGCAGGACAGTAGTGAACGTGATCCCCTTCCTGCTTCATATCCAAGGTTTCCACATCCTCTGTGTTAAGGTACTTCTACAAAGCACATTTTGACAAAGCAGGAAGCTTCCAAAATGTGAAATTGTTGTAAGGAAATGGGGAAAGAAGCAGACATTCTCATTTTAAATTATTAAGGGTTTTATGAAACCAGTGATTGCCAAGGATAACAATACTCACTAATTTTTTTATTATTATACTTTAAGTTCTAGGGCACATGTGCACAACGTGCAGGTTTGTTACATATGTATACATGTGCCATGTTGGTGTGCTGCACCCATTAACTCGTCATTTACATTAGGTATATCTCCTAATGCTATCCCTCCCCCCTCCCCCTCCCCTCACCCCACAACAGGCCCCAGTGTGTGATGTTCCCCACCCTGTGTCCAAGTGTTCTCATTGTTCAATTCCCACCTATGAGTGAGAACACGCAGTGTTTGGTTTTCTGTCCTTGTGATAGTTTGCTCAGAATGATGGTTTCCAGCTTCATCCACGTCCCTACAAAAGACATGAACTCATCCTTTTTTATGGCTGCATAGTATTCCATGGTGTATATGTGCCACATTTTCTTAATCCAGTCTATCGATGGACATTTGGGTTGGTTCCAAGTCTTTGCTATTGTGAATAGTGCCTCAATAAAATTACGTGTGCATGTGTCTTTGTAGCAGCATGATTTATAATCCTTTGGGTATATACCCTGTAATGGGATGGCTGGGTCAAATGGTATTTCTAGTATTAGATCCCTGAGGAATCGCCACACTGACTTCCACAATGGTTGAACTAGTTTACAGTCCCACCAACAGTGTAAAAGTGTTCCTATTTCTCCACATCCTCTCCAGCACCTGTTGTTTCCTGACTTTTTAATGATCACCATTCTAACTGGTGTGAGATGGTATCTCATTGTGGTTTTGATTTGCATTTCTCTGATGGCCAGTGATGACAAGCATTTTTTCATGTATCTGTTGGCTGCATAAATGTCTTCTTTTGAGAAGTGTCTGTTCATATCCTTTGCCCACTTTTTGATGGAGTTGTTTTTTTCTTGTAAATTTGTTTGAGTTCTTTGTAGATTCTGGATATTAGCCCTTTGTCAGATGGGTAGATTGCAAAAATTTTCTCCCATTCTGTAGGTTGCCTGTTCACTCTGATGGTAGTTTCTTTTGCTGTGCAGAAGCTCTTTAAGTAGATCCCATTTGTCAATTTTGGCTTTTGTTGCCATTGCTTTTGGTGTTTTAGACATGAAGTCCTTGCCCATGCCTAGGTCCTGAATGGTATTGCCTAGGTTTTCTTCCAGGGTTTTTATGGCTTTAGGTCTGACATTTAAGTCTTTAATCCATCTTGAATTAATTTTTGTATAAGGTGTAAGGAAGGGATCCAGTTTCAGCTTTCTACATATGGCTAGCCAGTTTTCCCAGCACCATTTATTAAATAGGAAATCCTTTTCCCATTGCTTGTTTTTGTCAGGTTTGCCAAAGATCAGATGGTTGTAGATGTGTGGTATTATTTCTGAGGGCTCTGTTTTGTTCCATTGATCTATATCTCTGTTTTGGTATCAGTACCATGCTGTTTTGGTTACTGTAGCCTTATAGTATAGTTTGAAGTCAGGTAGCATGATGCCTCCAGCTTTGTTCTTTTGGCTTAGGATTGTCTTGGCAATGCAGGCTCTTTTTTGGTTCCATATGAACTTCAAAGTAGTTTTTTCCAATTCTGTGAAGAAAGTCATTGGTAGTTTGATGGGGATGGCACTGAATCTATAAATTACCTTGGGTGGTATGGCCATTTTCATGATATTCTTTGTATCCACGAGCATGGAATGTTCTTCCATTTGTTTGTGTCCTCTTATTTTGTTGAGCAGTGGTTTGTAATTCTCCTTAAAGAGCTCCTTCACATCCCTTGTAAGTTGTATTCCTAGGTATTTTATTCTCTTTGAAGCAATTGTGAATGAGAGTTCACTCATGATTTGGCTGTCTGTTATTGGTACAACACTCATTAATTTAAATCATCTTCTATGTTGTCTTTCATAGTTTTCCTTTTTATTTTTTTTTCCGAGATGGAGTTTTGCTCTGCTTCCAGGCTGGAGTGCGGTGGTGCGATCTTGGCTCACTGCAACCTCCAACTCCCTGGTTCAAGCGATTCTCCTGCCTCAGCCTCCTGAATAGCTGGAATTACAGGCACGTGCCACCACACCCAGCTAATTTTTGTATTTTTAGCAGAGACAGGGTTTCACCATGTTGGCCAGGATGGTCTCAGTCTCCTGACTTCGTGGATCCACCCACGTCAGCCTCCCAAAGTGCTGGGATTACAGGCATGAGCCACTGTGCCCTGGCCTCTCTCTCTCTCTTTCTTTGAGATGGAGTCTCACTCTGTCCCCGAGGCTGGAGTGCAGTGGCACAATCTCGGCTCACTGCATCCACCTCCCAGGTTCAAACAATTCTCCTGCCTCAGCCTCTGGAGTAGCTGGGTCTACAGGCACCTGCCACCACGCCTGGCTAATTTTTGTATTTTTAATAGAGACGGGGGTTTTGCCATGTTTGGCCAGGCTGGTCTCAAACTTCTGACCTCAGGTGATCCACCCATCTTGGCCTCCCAAAGTGCTGGTATTACTGGTGTGAGCCACTGTGCCCTGCCCATAGTTTTCTTTAAACCTAATTTAAACAGCTCTCATTCTTTCTCCAGCATTATGACTTACCTGTCGCCCTCCTGCTGATGGTGTTTTTAAGCCATGACAAAATGACATTAAAAATGCAATAAAATGTCTATTTTTATCATTATTTGACTAGAATGATGAATTAACTGTGAAATATAGCATTTTACCTCAGCATGAGGAAAGATATTAGAACCTATCATCAAGATTCACAGGGTTTCTCTTATAATACCAAATCCTGCTTATGTTTTATAAAGTCCCATTTTCTCTGGTTGGGGCATAACCTAAGTATCTGGTTATCTCAGGAATTGCCAAAATATGCTTATTTTATAATACTCTGTTAAGTTTTTAAAAAATATTTTATATGACACTAAAAGCACAAGCAACAAAAGCAAAATTAGACAAGCGGGATCAAACTAAAATTCTGCACAGCAAAAGACACAATCAACAAGTGAGAAGGCAACCTAGAGAATGGGAAAAAATTTTGCAAACCATATATCTGATAAGGGACTAATATGCAAAATATACAAGGAATTCCTAAAACTCAATAGCAAAAGAAAAAAAAGAAACTTCACACAATTAAAAATGGACTGGAATAGACATTTCGGAAAAGAAGGCACACAAATGACCATCAGGTATATGAAAAGATGCTCAACATCACTAGTGTCAGAGAACCACAAATTCACAATAGACGCAACATGGAAACAATCTAAATTTCCACTGACCAATGGATAAAGAAAACATAGTATATCCATATAAGGAAATATTATTCAGCTGTAGAAAAGGAAGGAAATCCTGTTATATGCAACAAACAGAAACCTGGAGGACATTATGCAAAGTGAAATAAGCCAGTCACAGAAGGACAAACACTGTGTGACATCACCTATATTAGGTATCTAAAACAGTCAAACTCACAGAAATAGAGTAGAATGATGTTGCCAGGAGATGGCTGGAGGAGGAAAATGGGAGTTGCTATTCGACAGGCGTAAAGTTTCAGTTATGCCAGATGAATGAGTTCTAGAGACCTTTATCTGCTATATAACAATGTGCCTATAGTTAGCAATAGTTTTGTACACTTAAAAATTTAAAAGAGCAGATCTCATTTTAAATATTTCTACCAGTTTTAAATAGGAACAGAACAAAATAAAATGGTCAATGAACAACAACAACAAAAAAGCAACAAGATTAGTTCTACTATCTGTCTTCATACAATAAAATACACCTATTTAAAAGATAAACAAGGCCAGGCGTGGTAGCTTATGCCTATAATCCCAGCACTTTGGGAGGCCAAGGTACGCAGGTTGCCTGAGGTCAGGAGTTTGTGACCAGCCTGGCCAACATGTCTCTACTAAAAATACAAAAATTAGCCAGGCATGGTGGCACACACCTGTAGTCCCAGCTACTCGGGAGGCTGAGGTGCGAGAATTGCTTGAGCCTGGGAGGTGGAGGTTGCAGTGAGCCAAGATCACGCCATTGCACTCCAGGCTGGGCAACAGAGCGAGATCTATCTCAAAAAATAAAAATAAAAAAGATAAACATTTTCCAGAAATATCAATTTAGCAAATATTTTATTTTTTCTAATCTCCAGTTCAGAGATGAAGAGCTAATATTTTAAAGCAATATATATTTTCAATAAGAATAAATAATTTTCTGTTAAAAAAATAAGAACATATCATAGAGTATCTGTTATAGGAAACCTGGTAGATGGCTCTCCAACATCAGAAGAGACATGAGCTTCCTTACTATTCCCCGATGGCACTGTTCAGGATCGAATCAGACCTTAGGTACTGGTAAAGCCATTTCAAACAGGAAAATAGAGGTGAAATGAAGCCCTGAGAATTAGTAAGTTAAGTGTAGGCATCCTAAAAAATCCTGATAAGGAAGGGCAAGCTAACAGTGGCATACAGACCCCAAAAGCTAAGTGCTAACAGTTTATCAGCCTCCAGGTTGAGAACAAGCAGAAAAGGAGATAACATTGCTGAGAACATGAGGGAGCACAGGAAGGGTGGGGAGGACCTAGGTGATGAGGGAGCCTCCATGCTGCATGGGAGCACCATCAGAAGAGAACAGAATAAGGACTCACCTTCTGGTTTTGCAGTCAAGCATGCATACAATTTTGGCTGCGTGATGCCTGGAGCCAGTAAATTCCTACAAGCTCAGTTCTAAGGCTTTGGAATTCATATAAAATGGTCCTGTCCATAGGAAGACTACTGCTCATGGAAGATAAGCAGTAGAAACATGTAAATTAAAACGTACAGTCCTCTTTCATCCTTTTAATGAACTCTGAGACAGATTACCGATGACCCTCTCTCACTTCCCAATTGTCTGAGTTCAGAGTTAGTAGTGATATAACCACTACAATTTTCTTCTCATCCACAACAGAAAGTACTTAGCATCTCTTTTAAGAAGCAGTTTTAGTCTGTCCTCTTACTTGAGAATTTAATTGTACTTAATGTGTGTGCTTATTTGATGTGTGTTCATTGGCCTGGTTGCCTTTTAAATTCATGTGTGCCTCAGTGATGGCTTCAATTCCTGAAACTGCAGGTTACCAGGGAAAGAGAATCTGCCTAATTCTAACACAGTATCACATAGGTAAGTATATTTAATAAATTTTTATCACAGGAAATCTTATATGCAATATTATGTCTTGAAATTGTTTCTTTGTGATGTCTTTAGGGGGAGTTCTACTGCTCATCTTCCTTTGCAATTAACTTTTTAAAAAAACTTTAATAGTATCCCAGTACACAAGGACAAGCAGCAGCAATCCTTGAAGAGTAGGAAAAAAAAAAAATAGTAGACAGGGTCCCCTCATCTCTGGATGTGGCCCTCATCCCAGAACTCTGGGTTTCATTTTCTCCATGTGCAACGCAGATCACATAGTTGTGTAAGACACAAGCTTCCCCTGAGAATTTAAGATGGCTGCTTTTTACTCAAGCCCCAACTTCCACATCTTTGCATGTCAAAAAGGTATTTTTTAATCCCTTATTTTACAAATGAGGGAATTGAGATCCTTAGAGGTTAAATGGCTTGCTCATGGGGATGCAGCTAATTAGCAGGCTTGCGGACATCATTCATCAGCCTTAAAAATGTCCTTTCAGGATGTTGTCAAGTATAACCTATTACCCTTAAGATAGCTCCTTTGCTAAGAGCTGGGAGTTTCGTCAATACTGTCCACCTTCCTTTATCATTAACTTTTCTTTTATCTCTCTTAATAGAGTCCATAAAATAGAGGACAAGGAGCGGTAGGTATTTTTAACCTATTACAGTTTCTGTATGTTATTAAACCAACTTTAAAACAATGTAAATTATTTAAAATAAAAGGCAGCTGGAGTCCCACCAACATAATAAAACCACAACTAAATTTTATGTCCTTTCCCAAACTTTGTTTTTAATCTATCAATGTATACTTTTCAGAAGGCTGTGGTACGGTATTGGTTGGATGTGTATTTATGTGTATTGTTATTCTATTTTTGTCATATTATCTTGTTCATTTTCTTTCTACAAAATTCTACAAAAAAATATAAAGTGACTGCATCATCATGAAGTAATAGAATAATTAACTTAACCTTTCCCCTATTTTTGGACACTTGGATGTTCCTAGTTTTTCACTATTTTATGCACAATGCAGAAGAGAGCACATCTGTGCTTTAGTAGAAACAATGCCATCTTTACACACAGGAAACCAAGACTGTGTCAAATATCCTCACACCCAGTGAAAAATTTGGTTCAAATTTACCTTCTGTGAAATAAAACATGCAGGCCAGGCATGGTGGCTCACACCTGTAATCCCAGCAATTTGGGAGGCCAGGGTGGGCAGATCAGTTAAGGTCAGGAGTTGGAGACCAGCCTGGCCAACATGGAGAAACCCTGCCTCTACCAAAAATACAAAAAAAAATTAGCCAGGCATAGTGGCACATGCCTGTAGTCCCAGCAACTTGGGAGGCTGAGGCAGGATAATCACTTGAACCGGGGAGGTGAAGATTGCAGTGAGCCAGTATTGCATCACTGCACTCCAGCCTGGGCAACAGGGTGAGTGAGACTCTGTCTCAAAAAAATAAAATAAAATGAAACAATCAAATATCAAAATTTCTTTTGACCCAGCATACTCTTGTTTTGCTATGACAGGCTGGGGATAAAGCAAACTTCTCTTAAAATATTTAAATATTTTTCTTGAAAATTTGACCTTTCTATTGAACTATAAACTCTGTATGAGGAAATTTTTTTTTCTTCAATTTGGAAAAAACCATTATAAAAATAATATTGTATACTATAAGCCAAGTACTTAATATTGATTATCTAAAACCCTCCCAGAGACCCTGTAAGGCAGGTGCTGTTGCCCTATTTTATGAATTTACAGTGGGGGAACCTGAGGTTTGGAATGTTCAGCAGTTCCCAGAGCCAACTGCCAGTTAATGGACCAAGTCTATGTTCTCAGCATTGGACTGTGTGACCGTAGCATGTTCCACATGAAAGCTGATTAGTAGGGAAGGGATGTAACACTTAGTTGTTTTTAACCAGCTTTATCAAGATATAATCCACATACTGTATAATTCACCCAAAGTGTACAACTCAACGGTATTTAATATATTCACAGATATGCGCTACCTCACAGTTTTAGAATATTTTCATCATCTCAAAATGAAATCCTATTAGCTATCACCCCTTTCAATCCCCTCTCCCCTCAACCCTAAGCAACAGCTAATCTGCTTTCTGTATCTATAGATTTTCCTGTCTGGATTCTCATGTGGATGAAATGATATGATATGTGGACTTCTGTGCCTGGCTTCCTTCACTTAGTGTAATATTTTCAAAGTTTATCCAAGTTGTATACATACTGGTACCTCATTCCAACAGATTAGCATTGAATCAAAGATCACCTTCACCTATGCAAGTGGCCTTTTTTTTTTTTTTTTTTTTGAGATGGAGTCTCACCCTCTCTTCCAAGCTGGAGTGCAATGGCATGATCTCAGCTCACTGCAACCTCTGCCTCCCAGGTTCAAGCGATTCTCCAGCCTCAGTCTACCTAGTAGATGGGATTACAGGTGCGTGCCACCACACCTGGCTAATTTTTTGTATCTTTAGTAGAGATGGGGTTTCGCCATGTTGGCCAGGCTGGTCTCGAACTC